>NC_000001.11:237699273-237850788 GCF_000001405.40 Homo sapiens | reverse complement strand
AAATTAGCCAGGTGTGGTGGTGCACACCTGTAATCCCAGCTACTCGGGAGGCTGAGGCAGGAGAATTGTTTGAACCCAGGAGGTGGAGGTTGCAGTGGGCCAAGATCATGCCACTGCACTCCAACCTGGGCAATGGAGCGAGACTCCATCTCAAAAAAAAAAAAAAGCAAAACAAAAACTTTCATTAAAGTAATATTTACAAATCTATACACAGAACCGTAGAGAGGGAATTTGTTCTTGGTGTAATGGTATGTAATGGTAGGTGACAGCCCTGATCATCTTCCCAGGGAAAACAAAAATACTAAAAATACAAAAAGCAACTTTGGTTTAAATAACTGTTTTTATTAAAGTCTAACATACATACAGAAACATGTGCAAATAATTGCATAGTCAGGTTATCACAAATGAACACACCTGTATAGCAACCACTCAAATCAACAAATGTAACCCTACTGGCATTTCAAAAGCCAGCCTATGCTTCTCTGTGCTTCTAGTCACAAACCCCTCCTTCCACCAAGCTGACTTTAAAGGTAATTTTTGCCTGTTGAGAATCACACAATATTTCTTTTGTTACATCTGACATCTTTCGCTCCACTGTGAGACTCATCCATATTGTTTTATGTGCAGTCGTTTGGTTTTTATTGGTGTATAGCATTCTATCGTATGAATATAGCACATGAAAAGAGTTTACTTGTCTGCTCAATTGTAGGATGTTTTCCTGCAGTGTTTAGCTATTACGAATAACACACCTATGAAAATTATTACATGCATCTTTTGTTGTACCTATATACACTTGGGTATATCTACCTAATGTTGGAATTTCTGGATCACATGGCATCTAAAGGATAACCTTTAGTAGACACTACCACAGAGAACTATCAACTTATTAAAAACCTTTGATGCATTGGCAAGAATGTAAGAAGTAGTTGAGGTTAAAAAAAGTTCCCTTCCCCTCCCTCTCTCTCATCCTCCCTCCCTCTCCTCTTCAATAATTCAACCTAAAAACCATTAGGTGGAGTGTCTAGATGAGGAGGAGGCAGTGGTAGTGGCCCAGTGTGGAATATAGGAACCCCAGAGGAGTGAGGAGGGCATCACCCACGGGGGGAGTGAGAGTGAAGGTGTGGGCAACCCAGCGAGGGCTGCTGAGTGAGCAGAAGGGCGTCTGCCCCAGAAGGGGGTATTGGCAGTCGTAACTGGCTGTGAGGTGACTGCTTAGGGGAGAGCAACCCAGCGCAGGTGAGGGGTCAGAGACTGAAGACAGGAATGTATTCAAATAGAAGATGGTGTGGCTATCGGAGATTAGTTACACAGAAGGACTGTTGGCTCAAAAAGTAAATCTACTGAGGATAAAAGGGATCTAGGTGTCTAACTATTGGAGAAGGGAGTTACAGATTTGAAAATGGAGAAACTGGAATGAACTCTGTGGTGTCAGATTGGAGTCGGAGGGTTCAGTGTCAATCCATGGTTTTTAATATATAGAGATAAATATAGATAGAACTGTGCATTTTATATCTTGAGCTTTGTCCGCTATGAATGAACATTGTTTTGCTTCCTTCTTCTCCATCCGGATGCCTTCTATTTTTTTTCTTGCCTAATTTTCCTGGCTAGGAGATCTAGTATAAATTTGAATAGAAGTAGCTAGAGCAGACATTTTTGTTTTGTTCTTAGAGTTAGGGGGAAAGCATTCGTCTTTCACCATTAAGTGTGAAGTTAGTTGGGGGATATTTGTAGATGCCGTTATCAGATTGAAGTAGTTCTCTGTTTCTTCTTTGTTGAGTTTTTATTATCAAAGAGTATTGGATTTTGTTAACCTTTTGTGACATGTGTGATATTATAAAATGTACATATGGTCTTCAACCCCATTTCCTGTTTCCTGATACACAACTCATAAAATCCTTAGAATCATCAAAGTCATGACTTTTCATATGCTAATGATTGACTGTTGGCTGCAGCCCATAGGTAGCTCCAAGTGGGACTGGTCACTGGAAAGACCAAGGCATGAGTAGAAGGTGGGACTTTTAGCCTCACTGGCCAACCTCCAGGGAGTGGGGAAGAAGGCTAAAAGTTAAGTTGATCGCCAGTGGCCAATGATTTAGTCAATCATGCCTATATAATGAAGCCTCCATAAAAGCCCGAAAGGACAGAGTTTGGAGGAGCTTCCAGAAAGCTGAATATTTGCCCAAGGAGGCCATGGAAGCTTCACAACCCTTCCCCCATGCCTCGCCCTATGCATCTCTTCATCTCTATCCTTTGTAATATCCTTTATAATAAACCAATACATTTAGGTGTTTCCTTGAATTCCATGAGCCACTCAGCAAATCAGTCAAAACTGAAGAGGGGCCGGGCGCGGTGGCTCACGCCTGTAATCCCAGCACTTTGGGAGGCGAAGGCGGGCGGATCACAAGGTCAGGAGATCAAGACCTTCCTGGCCAACACGGTGAAACCCCATCTCTACTAAAAATACCCCCTCTCTACTAAAAACCCCATCTCCACTAAAAATATAAAAAATTAGCTGGGCATGGTGCTGTGTACCTGTAGTCCCAGCTACTCGAGAAGCTGAGGCCGGAAAATCGCTTGAACCCGGAGGTGGAGGTTGCAGTGAGCGGAGATCGCACCACTGCACTCCAGCCTGGCGACAGAGTGAGACTTTATCTCAAAAAAAAAAAAAAATGAAGAGGGAGTTATGGGAACCCCAACTTGAAGCCGGCTGATCAGAAGTTCTGTAGGCCCAGACTTGGAACTGGTATCTGTAGGAGGGTACAGTTTTGGGGACTGAGCCCTCAACCTGTGGGATCTCACACTTTTTCCACATAGAAAATGTCAGAATCAAATTGGAGGACACTCAGCGGCTGGCTGCTGCAGAATTGATTGCTTGCTTGTTGGTTGAGAGCAACCCCACACATTCGGTCACAGAAGTCTTCTGTGTTGATCTGTTGTTTTGCATAGAATAGGAAAAAGCACCGTGAGTGTGTTTTTCTTCACAACAATCTATTGAGATCATGCTTGGGTGTATGGATGCTCCATTCATTTTTTAAATAAAGTCCCCATTTTCAGTCTTTTTTTTTTTTCTGTATTTCATTTGGGGTAGTTTTATTGCTGTTTCTTCAAGTTCACTAGTCTTGTCTTACTCAGTCTAAACTTCTGTTAATTCTCTCTCATGTATTTTTCACCTCAGACACTATATTGCAATATTATTGTGCCTCTACTAATGTTAGTTTCTCTGTTGCTATCATAACAAATCCCCACAAATGTGGCATCTTAACAATCTAATCCCAGCACTCTGGGAGGCTGAGGTGGGTAAATCACGAGGTCAGGAGTTCGAGACCAGCCTGGCCAAGATGGTGAAACCCCGTCTCTACTAAAAATATAAAAATTAGCTGGGCGTGGTGGTGGACACCTGTAATCCCAGCTACTTGGGAGGCTGAGGCAGGAGAGTTACTTGAACCCAGGAGGCAGAGGTTGCAGTGAGCCAAGATTGCACCACTGCACTCCAGCCTGGGCAGCAGAGCGAGACTCTGTCTCAAACAAAACAAAACAAACAAAAAACAACAGTCAACAATCATTTATTAAGCAAAAAACATTTATTCTCTCATAGATTGGTAGGTCAGAATTCTGGACCCAGAGTGACAGCTGGTTCTGTGACTTTGTTTTACAAGATTGGACTCAAGGAATGGCAGGACTGTGCTCCTTTTTGAGGCTCTGGGGATAAACGCACTTCCAACTAACTCATTCAGGACATCAGCAGGATTTTAGTTCCATGCAACTTCAGAGGTTTCTGCTTCCTTGCTGGCTACTGGCCAGGGTCATTCTCAGCTTCTAGAGGCCACCCGATTCTCTGCCTTCCGACTCCCTCCATCTCCAAAGCCAACAGTGGCTCCAGTTCTTTCTACACTTTGACTCTCTAACATCAATCTCTCTCTCTCTCTCTTTTTTTTTTTCCTGCATTTAGCCTGAGAAAACTTTTGTAGGTGCTTCCTTTCCTGGCCTCAGGTAGTTTCCCTACGTGCTTCTGGGGCCAGTATTCAGCTGAAGACTAGAGGGGGACCCTCGGCCCATCACAGGGGTCTCTCTCCATTTCTCCTCCCTGGTTCTTTCCCCCATAGAACTCTAACCACCTTGGCATCCCCAGACTCCCAGCAACGCCTCTTTAACGCAGGGTATTATTGCTGTTGTAGTTGTTTCGTGTAAGAGAAACTAATGGGCATGAATAATCTATTTATATTAATTTCAAATCAAGATAGTAAAAATTTACATTCTTATAGAGAATTTAGTGACATCAAAGAATATATCTTCGAATTCGGTTTGAGGAAGCAGTGACCTATATGAAGAAATCCAAAATCTTCAGGTCTCATGTGGGTTGAACTGTATCCTTCTAACAGAAGATATGTTGGTGCCCTAGCCCTGAGTACGTATGTCAGAATGTGGCTTTTTTTTGAGATGGGGTCTTCACAGAGGTAATCAAGTTAAAATGAGGTTATTATGGTGGGCTCTAATCCAATATGACTGGTGGCCTTATAATAAAGGGGAAACATGGACACAGGCAGATACAGAGGGAGAATGAGAATACCACATGGAGATGAGGGCAGGGATCTACAAGCCAAGGAATGCCACCAAAAGAGAGGTGCCAATAAGCCACCAAAAGAGAGGAAAGAGGCATGGAACAGATGCCCCCTCATAGCCTCAGGAAGAATCAATGCTACCAACACCTTGATTTCAGACTCCTAGCCTCTAGAACTGTGAAACAATAAAGGAACTGTGAAACCACAGATTAATGGTAGTTACAGGAAATAACATGAATAAACTGGGCATTCAACATGTTTCTAAATCAACAAACTATAACTATATCAGTTTTCCAAAATTTATTGATAATTTTAACAAAAAATATTACCAATGCCACAATGGAAATCTTTTGGAACTTGACAAAACGATTTAAAGTGTTATCTGAAAAGAGGAGCATTAGAAAAGTCAAGAGTTTTTTTTGGTGAAAGGATGATGGATGGAGAATTTGATGTATTATATATTAAAACACATTGTGAAATTTTAGTTACTTAAAGGCATGGTCCTAATGTATCTGTTCAAACATCTTTATTGCAAGTAATAACTCAGTTCAAACTAGCTTAAGCTATCATGAAAATGACTTTTTAAAAAACTGTTATTTTAGGTTTGGGGGTACATGTGAAGGTTTGTTATATAGCTAAACTCATGTCATAGGGGTTTGTTGTACAGATTATTTTGTCACCCAGGTATTAAACCCAGTACCCAATAGTTATCTTTTCTGCTGCTCTCCCTCCTCCCACCTTCCACCCTCAAGTAAACCCCAGGGTCTGCTGTTTCCTTCTTTGTGTTCATGAGTTCTCATCATTTAGCTCCCACTTATAAGTGAGAACATCAGTGTTTGGTTTTCTGTTCCTGCATTAATTTGCTAAGGATAATAGCCTCCAGCTCTATCCATGTTCCTGCAAAAGACATGATCTCATTCTTATGCCTGCATAGTATTCCATGGTGTATATGTACCACATATTCTTTATCCAGTCTACCATTGATAGGCATTTAGGTTGATTCCATGTCTTTTCTATTGTGAATAGTGCTGCAATGAACATTTGCATGTGCGTGTCTTTATGGTAGAATGGTTTCTATTCCTCTGGGTATATAATTTATATTCCTCTGGGTATCTACCCAGTAATAGCATTGCTGGGTCAAATGGTAGTTCTGCTTTTATCTCTTTGAGGAGTCACCCTACTGCTTTCCACAATGGTTGAACTAATTTATACTCTCACCAATGGTGCATAAACATTCCTTTATCTCTGCACCCTTGCCAGCATCTATTTTTTTTTTCGACTTTTCAATAATGGTCATTCTGACTGGTGTGTGATGGTATCTCATTATGGTTCTGATTTGCATTAAATCAGTGATATTGAGCTTTTCTCATATTCTTGTTGGCTACATGTATGTCTTTTTTTGAAAAGTGTTTTCGTGTCCCTTGCCCACTTTTTAATGGGGTTGTTTGTTTTCCTCTTGTAAATGCAAGCTCTTTATAGAATGCTGGATATTAGACCTTTTACAGATGCATAGTTTGCAAAATTTTTCTCCCATTCTGTAGGTTGTCTCTTCACTCTACTGATAATTTCCTTTGCTGTGCAGAAGCTCTTTAGTTTAATTAGATCCCATTTGTCAATTTTTGCTTTTGCTGCCATTGCTTTTAGTGTCTTTGTCATGAAATCTTTGTTCATTCCTATGTCCAGAATGGCATTGCCTAAGTTGCCTTCCAGGGTTTCTCTAGTTTTAGGTTTTACATTTAAATCTTTAATCTACCTTGAGTTAATTTTTGTATGTGGTGTAAGGGGTCTAGTTTCAATCTTCTGCATATGGCTAGCCAGTTATCCTAGAACCATTTATTGAATAGGGAATCCTTCCCCTGTTGCTTGTTTTTGTCAGGTTTGTCGAAGATCAGATAGCTATAAGTGTACGGCCTTATTTCTGGGTTCTTTACTCTGTTCCATTGGTGTACGTGTCTATTTTTGTACCAGTGTACCATGCTGTTGGTTACTGTAGCCCTATTTGTATAGTTAGAAGTTGGGTAGCATGATGCCACCAGCTTTTTTTTTTTTCTTTTTTGAGATGGAGTCTCACTCTGTCACTCAGGCTGGAATGCAATGGTGCGATCACAGCCCCCTGCAACCTCTGCCTCCTGGGTTCAAGCAATTCTCCTGCCTCAGCCTCCCTAGTAGCTGGAATTATAGGTGCCTGCCAACACGCCCAGCTATTTTTTTTTTTTTTTTGTATTTTTAGTAGAGATGGGCCTCCCAAAGTGCTGGAATTACAGGTGTGAGCCACCGCACCCGGCCTCTTTTTTTCTTTTTGCTTAGGATTACCTTGGCTATTTGAGCTCTTTTATTTTATTCCATATGAATTTTAAAATATTTTTTTCTAGTTCTGTGAAGAATATCATTGGTAGTTTAATAGGACTAGCATTGAATCTATAAATTGCTTTGGGCAGTATGGTCATTTTAGCAATATTGATTCTTCCTATCCATGAACATGGGATGTTTTACTATTTGTTTGTGTCATCTCTGATGTCTTTAAGCAGTGTTTTTGTTGTTGTTGTTGCTGTTTGTTTGTTTGAGATGGAGTCTTGCTCAGTCACCTAGGCTGGAGTGCAGTGGCATGATCTCGGTTCACTGCAGCCCCCACCTACCAGGTTGAAGCCATTCTCCTGGCTCAGCCTCCCGAGTAGCTGGGACTACAGATGCACGCCACCATGCCTGGCTAATTTTTGTATTTTTAGTAGAGATGGGGTTTCACCATGTTGGCCAGGCTGGTGTTGAACTCCTGCCTTCAGGTGATCCACCCGCCTTGGCATCCCAAAGTGCTGGGATTACAGGCATGAGCCACTGTGCCTGGCCTAAGCAGTGTTCTGTAGATCTCCTGGTAGAGATCTTTTGCCCCCGTAGGTCTCCTTGTAGAGATTTTTTGCCCCGCCCCTGGTTAGCTGTATTCCCAAGTATTTTATATTTGGGTGTGTATATGGTAATTGTGAACAGGATTGAATTCCTGATTTGGCTCTCCACTTGACTGTTGTTGGTATATAGATATGTTAGTAATTTTTACACATTGATTTTATATCCTGAGACTTTGCTAAAGTTGTTTATCAGATTAATGAGCCTGTGGGCTGAGACTATGGGGTTTTCTAGATATAGAATCCAGTCATTTGCAAACAGGGATAATTTGACTTCCTCTCTTCTATTTGGATGCCCTTTGTTTCTTTCTCTTGCATGATTGCCCTGGTCAGGATTTCCACTACTGTTTAATAGGAGTGATGAGAGAGGGTGAGAGAGGGCATCCTTGTCTTGTGCTTGTTTTCAAGGGGAATGCTTCCAGCGTTTGCCCATTCATTATGATTTTGGCTGTGAGTTTGTTATAGATGGCTCTTACTATTTTGAGATATGCTCCTTCAACACCTAGTTTATTGAGAGTTTTTAACATGAAGGGGTGTTGATTTTACTGAAAGTCTTTTATGCACCTATTGAGATAAAAAGTGATTTTTGTCTTTAGTTCAGTTTATGTGATCAATTGCATTTATTTGTGTATGTTGAACCAACCTTGCATCCCAGGGATAAAGCCTACTTGATTGTGGTAGATAAGCTTTTTGATGTGCTGCTGGATTCAGTTTGCCAGTATTTTGTTGGGAATTTTTACATCCATGTTCATCGAAGATATTGGCTGAAGTTTTCTTTGTTGTGTCTTGGCCAGGTTTTGGTATCATAATGATGCTGGTTTCATAGAATGAGTTAGAGATAAGTCCCTTCTCTTCAATTCTTTGGAATAGTTTCAGCAGGAATTGTACCAGGTCTTCTTTGTATATCTGGAAGTACTCAGCTATGAATCTGTCTGATCCTGGGCTTTGGTGGGTAGGCCTATTCATTACTGGCTCAATTTCAGAGCTTGCTATTGGTCTGTTCAGGGATTCCATTTCTTTCTGGTTGAGTCTTGGAAGGGTGTTTGTGTCCAGAAATTTATCCATTTCATCTATATTTTCTAGTTTATTTGCATAGAGGTGTTCATAATATTCTGATGGTTGTTTGTATTTCTGTGGGGTCAGTGGTGATATCCCCCTTGTTGTTTCTGATTGTGTTTATTTGAATCTTCTCTGTTCTTCTTTATTAGTCTAGCTAGTGGTCGATTTTTTTCAGACAACCAAGCTCCTGGATTTGTTGATCTCAGTGTGTGTGTGTGTGTGTGTGTGTGTGTGTGCGCGCACATGCACCTGTGTCCTTCAGCTCTGATTTTGGTTATTTCTTGTCTGCTATCTTTGGGATTTGTTTGCTCTTGGCTCTCTAGTTCTTTTAGTTGTGATGTTAAGTTGTTAACTTGATCTTTCTAACTTTTTGATGTGGACATTTAGTTATTTAAATTTTCCTCTTAACACTGCCTTAGCTGCGTCCCAGAGATTCTGGGATGTTTTATCTTTGTTTGCGTTGGTTTCAAAAAACTTCTTGATTTCTGCCTTAATTTCATTATTTACCCAAAAGTCATTCAAGAGCAGGTTATTCAATTTCCATGTGATTGTATGGTTTTCAGTGAGTTTCTTAGTCATGACTTCTAATTTGATTGTGCTGTGGTCTGAGAGATTGTTATTTTAATTATTTTGCATTTGCTGAGGAGTGTTTTGCTTCTGGTTGTGTGATTGATTTTTAGAGTATGTGCCATGTGGTGATGAGAAGAATGTATATTCTGTTGTTTTGGGGTGGAGAATTCGGTAGATGTCTATCTGGTCCATTTGACCCACTGCTGTGTTCCTGAATGTCTTTGTTAATTTTCTGTTTTGATGATCTAATATTGTCACTGGGGTGTTAAAGCCTCCCACAACTATTGTGTGTGAGTCTAAGTCTCTTTGTAGGTCTCAAAAAATTTGCTTTATGAATCTGGGTGCTCCTGTGTTGGCTACATACGTATTTAGGATAGTTAGATCTTGTTGAATTGAACCCTTTACCATTACATAATGCCCTGGTCTTTTTTTTTTTTTTAAATCTTTGTTGCTTTAGAGTCCATTTTGTCTGAAACTAGAATTGAAATCCCTGCTTTTTTCTGTTTCCCATTTGCTTGGTAGATTTTTCTCCATCCCTTTATTTTAAGCCTATGTGTCATTGCGTATGAGATGGGTCTCTTGAAGACAACATGCCAATGGGTCTTGGATTTTTATTCAGCTTGCCACTATGTGTCTTTTATTTGGGGTGTTCAGCCCATTTACATTCAAGGTATTGTTAAGTGTGGATTTGATCATGTCTTCATGATGTTAGCTGGTTATTTTGCAGACTTGTTTAAGTGGTCGCTTCATAATGCCACTGGTCTGTATACTTCAGTGTGTTTTTGTGGTGGCTGGTAATGGTCTTTCTTTTCCATATTTAGTGCTTCCTTCAGGTGCTCTTATAAGGCAGGTCTGGTAATAACAAATTTCCTCAGCATTTGCTTGTCTGAAAAAGATCTTATTTCTCCTTTGCTTATGAACCATAGTTTAGTTAGATATGAATTTCTAGGTTGGAGTTTTTTTCCTTTAAGAATGCTGAATATTGTCCCCCAGTCTCTTCTGGCTTATACCGTTTCTGCTGAGCATTCCCCTATTAGTGTGATGGGCTTCTTTTTGTTGGTGACCTAACATTTCTCTCTAGCTGCCTTTAACATTTTTTTCACTTCTACCTTGGAGAATCTGATGATGATGTGTCTTGGGGATGATCTCCTTGTGAAATATCTTACTGGGGTTTTCTGCATTTCCTGAATTTGAATGTTGGCCTCTCCACCTAGGTTGGGGAAGTTCTCTTGCATCGTATACTGAATTACATTTTCCAAGTTGGTTCCATTCTCCTCATCTCTTTCAGGGACACCAATGAGTCATAGATTTAGTCTCTTTACATAATCCCATATTTCTTGGAGATTTTGTTCACTCCTTTTTATTCTTTTCTCTGTTCTTGGGTGACTGTCTTATTTCAGAAAGCCAGTCTTCAAGCTCTGAGATTCTTTCCTCCATTCGGGCTATGCTGCTATTAGTACTTGCACCTGTGTTATGAAATTCTTGTATTGTGTTTTTTCAGCTCTATCCGGTCAGTAACATTCTTTTCTATACTGGCTATTTTGTCTGTCAACTTCTGTACTGTTTTATGATCTTTAGCTTCCTTGGATTGGGTTTCAGCACACTCTTGTAGCTCAATAATCTTCCTTTCTATCCATATTCTGAATTCTAGCTCTGTCATTTCAGTCATCTCAGCCTGCTTCAGAGCTTTTGCTGGAAAAGTGATGTGGTTGTCTGGAAGAAAGAAGGCACTCTGGCTTTTTGAATTGTCAGGGTTCTTGTACTGATTCATTCTCATTTTGTGGGCTTATCTACCTTCAGTCTTTGAGGTTGCTGACCTATGGATGGTTTTTTTCTTTTATCCTATCTCATGAGCTTGAGGATTTGATTGTGGTATAATAAGGTGGATTCAGCCAACTGGCTTCATTTCTGGAAGATTTTTAGGGTGCCAGCACTCAGTTCCCAACTACTAAACTGCTGTACGTTATCTCTGAGGGACTTGTGTTGGGCCCCGAGATTGTTCTCTGGCTCCTTGGAGTTAGAAATCTGCTGTGTTTGGGGGGCCAAGGTGCTCCTAGACCGCTGATCACTATACTCTGAAGGATGTTGTCAGCCAAAGTGTTTCATAGTGTGGTGACAGCAGAATCCTTCCTTGTAGCAGCAGCTGCAGTACTAGTGGGTGCCAGGGTGCTAGCGGGTTCTGGGGTGCCTGCCTCTCTGCAGGCACTCACCAGAGTGGTGGAGGCAACCCAGTTATGGGGGCCTTTGCTGGCAACTATGTGTGCAGTGGCAGTAGAGGTGGTCTTGGCTCAGGGGGAGGGCGCTGGTGGACCCAAGTCTGGGTGGCCCCTCTGCGCCCTGTAAACAGGAGTGGTCATTCAGGGAGCTGGGAGGATCTGCTGTTCTCTGCACAGTGTTAGCACAAGGGTAAGGTGATGGTGGGGCTGGCTGGCTTTCTGCCCACCAAAGCTTCATCTGCAATGGCAGATGATGAAGCTGGGAGGGCAGACTGCACTCCTGTGTGCTGGCGGGGCAAGGATGGCAAAACCTGCCCACAAAGACATGTGTCAGCAAGGAGATGTGAGAAGTTGCCATGGGCCTAGGGGAAGCCGCAGTATGGGGAGAAGGTCCCTATGGGGACCCTCCTCTAGGCTCCGCCATGCTGGAGCTCTCCACTGGTCAGGCAAGTCTGCCAGTGCAGAAGTTATGATGCAGGCCCCCAGGGCACCTGAGACTGCCCTGCAAGCAGGCATGGCCAGGCTGGGGCCCCAGGAGAGGCCAGCAGACCAAAGGGTGCTCAGGTTGATCTGGCCCTCTATGATGGGCAAGACTGCCCTGCGGAATTCAGATCAGACAGCTCCCCTAGGGCTAAAGTCTCCTATGGGAGTGAGCCATGCCTAGGGGGATAGCCGTCCCTGGTTGAGCTCTGCTACAAATGCTCCTGCACCAAACCCTCTGGGCTCCACATCAGCTGACTTGTTGCCCTTACCACTTCTCTAAGCAGCTCTCCCTGCCAACTTGAGTGTTCATGGTGGTCAAGGGGTCTCCTTCTGCTGGGGTTCTGGAGGCCTGTGGCAAGACTGGGTTGCTCCTTGCCAGTTCAACTGACCCATTCCCCCAGAGTCTTTGCGGGCCAGGAATGAGTTCCAATGTACAGTAGCCTCATACAGTGTTCCCAACTTTCTCCCCTTCAGCCCAGCTTGTGTCTTCCCTCCATCCACTCTGGGTGCCCTCCCTCTGCAGATCTGTTAGGAACACACCTGTCATCGAGGTCCCTGGGTGGGAGCTGTTCCCTCTGGCTGCCTCCAGATGATTTTTATGCATCTAAACTGAGCATGCTTTCTGTAATACTGAAACGTTACTGTGTAGCTTGTACTTAAACACTTCTCATGGGAGCACTAAACCATCCAAAGTGGCCTAGCCTACTCTTGGGCAGAAGTATTAGAAGACCATTGTAAAGTTGGGCAAAATTTATCCTTTTATTGCTTCTAACAAGTGGTTGTATCAATTCTTGGAACAAAATCGAAACTTTTATTTTTCTGAAATGTCTTTGGGAATTTGTATTTTTTAAATTTGAGTGGACCATCTATGTTTTCTTATACAACTAATTGTACCATTCTCTTAGGAGGAAATAGAAGTAGATGATAGTTTTTTTTTTGTTCTGTGATATGTTAGCATTATTCCATATTATCCAAACTTAGAAGCTATTTTTTCCCTGTCACTCATTTTTTATTGTTAAATATTTAAAACGTATAAAAAGCCAAAGAAAAATCATGTGAGGGACGTTTGCCTCAGACTCAAACCTCTTGTGCCTCTTCAGATTTCATTGGTGCCACCTGCTTCCTGGGCCTCCAGCCACTGGTTCCACCTCTGCTTCCTGCACCAGACATTTTTCATGGTTCTTCCGCCTGGGGCTGCCCAGTCTCTTGTCCTTGGCATGTTGGGCCCTTTGGATCCCCTTATATAGCTAGGTTGACCAGCTGCACCCAGGGTTTCTGGCTCTTCTGCTACTACCAGCCTTGGCTATAACTGCCTACCACAGGGTATGGATCCAGTATCCAGAATGAACTCCTAGAGGTCAGATGATTCCATCTAGCCATTGGATGGGGACTTGCTGTGCCTTAGGGTGACCTTTGACCAACAAGAAACAAGAGATGAAAGACAAGTAGCAGATTCATTCTCATTCTTTATCCCTCCAATGGACGACTCCAAGACACTATTTCTCTTTACAGAATGCCTTGTGAAGCTCCAGCGTGCCGACTGGAGGTCCCTGCTGAACAGCTCTGTTGCTCTTCCTGGCTCGTGGTAGAACAGCAGCTAGGGTACTCATGCATTCATTTTCATTGCTGCACGTCTTTCACTTATACCCTGCTTTCCTCATACTTGCAGTTGTAGTGGCCCCAAGAAAGCATAATTACTTCAATCCTTGCCTCAGGTTAGCGTCATGAGAACCCGAGCTAAGAGGATATCTTGTAGACACTACCCATGATAAACAGGGAACAATTCCTTTCTTGTTTGTTACGCCAAGTATGGAATACAAACTTTTCTTTCTTTTTTTTTTTTTTTTTTTTGAGATGGAGTCTTGCTCTGTCACCCAGGCTGGAGTGCAGTGGTGCAATCTCAGCTCACTGCAACCTCTGCCTCCCGGGTTCAAGCAATTCTTCTGCCTTAACCTCCTGAGTAGCTGGGATTACAGGCATGTGCTACCATGCCTCGTTAATTGTTGTATTTTTAGTAGAGACGGGAGTTTAGCCATGATGGTCAGGCTGGTGATCAAACTCCTGAGCTTAAGTGATCCACCCGCCTCAGCCTCCCAAAGTGCTGGAATTATAGGCTAAACTATTTAGTTTTGTGTGTGTAGCATTTAGGCTCAACTCATTCTGGCACTTACTCTTCATGACATTTTAAAATGTAGGAATTCATTTCATAATTTATACTCTTTAAACAAAACCATAAGAGTCTCTACCAGTTTCTCACTGGCTTTAAAAAAAAAAACTTGCTTAAGTAATTGATTTTCTTCTACTTGCATGTAAAATAAAAGAAGAATCAACTGTCAATAATCGGGCCATGAATTTTTACTAACTCCTGTTGACAAGGGTTCTGTTTCATTCATCTTCATTTTGTGTAGGTGGGAGTAGCTTGGTCATAATATTACAAGCTTAAGTAGATATTTCCAATTTCTCCTTCTGGCAATTAAGAGTCTTATCATTTCAAGGTCATCTGTTACTCTTATTCTTGACATTACATCGGCCTATATCTACATTTCTGAATTTACATGTAAAATGTTATGTATATCTAATTTTAATACATTTTTTAGTATGAGGCTCAACTGCAGGTAATTCAAATTATGTGGAACAACTTTTAGGTTTGGTCTTTTCTTAAAAATAATAGTTTCTGCTTACACACTAATATAGTATTGCTCATGTTAGGATCATTACCTGTTGTTATACTTTATGGTGTTAACCAGGCCTATAAAAAGATTCCTTTTTTCCTATGAATAAAAATTAAAAGGCCTATTTAGCAGTGCTTAATGAAGATAGAATGCGCATACATGAAGTTCATAAGTTTCCTGGAAGAAAATAAATATAAAACTTATGAAAGGAATTGGAACATATTATGGGCATGCAGGGTTGGTAGGTGAAACTGTGATTTTGGGAACATGAAACTTTAAGGATTTATTTAATTACCTGCTTTAGATTCATATTAGCCATACAATTAAATTATACCATTTTAGATGAAAGGATACTGAACTTTGTTCTGTGAGAGATGTGTGCTGTTAATATTTATGGCTATTAAAAGGCCCTAGCTCCACCCATGCACTTGTATCAAGATTTGGATGCCATTTAACCAGTCGCTATCCAGACATTTTTGAGTGCTGGGCAGAAACCTTATCAGGAGGGAGACAGGTCATTCCCTTCACAACACAATGGAGATTTATGAAATAATCTGGGGAATGTCTAACTGTTCCAGCCTGTTCCATGTCAAGTTTACCTGAATTCCATGTAAGTGTAATTTTCAAAAAGTTCTCTTTCACTGTGCCCAGAGTAAATGAGGCACTCACTACTGACAGCCACCCAAACACCTTAACAGCAACAGGTATCGAATTGGTATATTCACCCAAGAAAACAGGAGCTTCAGAAAAATATGAACATTTCCCTGGTGAAGCAAGATAGTGAATACATGTATAATTTCCCAAGATATAATTTTTACAGTCAAAGTATTTTCATTACAATATGACTTTTAAATGAGTTCTTGAGGGACTGAGAACAAACTGTCTCCTGCACACGAAAAATGACCATCCGAGGAGTACCAGTGGACAGTGATGACCGGGGGCATTTGGAAATCTTCAACTTAAATTGTGAATATAAACTTATTTTATGGCGTAGATGCAAAAGATGTTTCTAAGGAAAAGAGAGGAACAGATGAAATAGGGGCAGAATGATGTTTGTAAGTGTTGTAGTTGAGAATAGGGATATGTGTGTGTTCATTATGTTTTTTTTGGGGTGAATCTTTGAGTATTGATTTAGTATTTCTAAAAGGATTCCATTTCTTGACTTTGGGTCACGCAGTCCTGAGTTAAATTAGAGAAGTGGAGAGCTACACTGTGTTTGAGATTCACTGAGACATTTCCTGGGGGAATTCATGCTGATAAAGAAAAGCTTCCTCTTCTCTTTTGAGGCCTTGAGAAGGAAAGGAAGAGGAGTCTTCCTCTAATGGTGGGCCAGTGAGGAGGCTGGGAAGTGTGACTTTCTCCAGTAATCAGCTGTTCCTTTACTCTTTCTTCAACACGTATGTGTCCCAAATCCCAGCCTCTCTCTTTCTCCCAGAACTTTAGAGCTGGGCAGTCAGGAAAGCCTATTTAAAAGCCTGCAAAATCTAGGGGCAGCTATGTGTTTATTTACTCACCTCCCACCTGTACTGTTACTTTGTGTCACCTCTGATTTGAGCATTATAACTAGAACATCTGAATCTATCAGTGGACTTTATGTCCTGGAAAAATATTCATTCCTTTCCACTACATACTTGCTCTGCAGTGTTTCCTGGCAAATGGCAGTGCACTCTTTGATGTTTTGTGGAGCTGACCTCATTTATTTTATTCAGAGTCTTCAGAGCATCAGATCACCGCCCTGAACAGTCTTGAAAATTCCTATGGTACAGCCAAATTTATTCTTCCCCCACATAAAAGTGATACCAGAAGACAAAAGGCAAAATCTAGATACTAGCACCGTGATGTTGTGCTGGTGAGGTGTAAGATGACGGAGAAGTCACCGGTACCCACAGCAGCACTTTGCACACAGCAAATGTTCAATTGGGTTTTGAATGTTTAATACACCACATGCTAGGGTACCGATTCTCTTTCATATTAAGACAGAAAATGAACTCCTATTATTATAGGAAATGAATTTGCCCTGAGCAAGGAAGAGCTTTCAAAAATGAGAGCTATATAAAAATTAAATAATCTGGGAGATAGCGATCTTTTTTTTCTGTCATTGGAGGTTTTCAAGAGGTCTGGCTGACCCATATAACAGGGAAATGACAGGGGTGGGCCAGGTGCCTGGTGACTCTGAGGCCCCACAATTATATACACAACAGTCTTAGAGGTACCAGGAAATCTGACAGCGTTAAAGGTCTCAGTGCAGTGTTTAGGATTGTCCTATATCCACCTCAAGTTAGAAGCTCAAGATTTTATGAGTCCCAGTTATAAGTTTTAAATGGAGAAAGAAGAGGATGAGAAAGTTAGTTAAATAGTTTAATCAGAGCGGTTTTACAGTTCTAAAATTAACAAGCAGACTTGTAATAAAAGAGCTCCAATGTTTGCAAAATGACCTTGTTTCCATTCTGAATCTGACTTTTTAATTGTAAAGGTTAGCATTACATTTAAAAGGACTCAAAATGGAAAAAATGGAGTGATGTATATTATCATCCGTGTTTTGTGATGCAACTGATGAAATCCCTGAATGGATATTGCTTCAGCTTTGATATTAAAAAATGGCCTGACAAGAAGTCCTTAATCAACAAAACTGATCACAGGTGGCTGAAAGAATGAGCAAAACCCAAAACTACTGTCAAGTTCATATTGTATCACATTGTTGGTGGATGACACTGGCTCCAGATATACAATTAAGCCCACGACACTTTATTACTATGAATAATTATCATGAAATTTCTCTCACGTTGATCAACTTGTTTCTGAAGGTTTTCTTTGTTCATTTAAACTTGCATAATAAACATGCAATGAATGGTTTCTTTTGAAAGTGTATTTTTTGCAGTCTTTTTGTTTTCATACAAAGATTTCATAAAGTTGCAATGTTGCATCAGAGCATTACCAAAATAATAGCAGGAGCATATGGGGGCGGGGGCGGGGGGGGGGGGCAAATGTGAATTTAGCTGAATGAGAAGAGCCTCCTTTTGTCCTGAGACACACCACCCGTTTTTTTTTTTTCTTTTTAAGTGCAAACTGCTTTTCTTACCCTCCCCCACTAAAGAAAAGACTAAAGGAAAAAAAAAAAACCTCACAAAATCAATCTAAGAAAAGAAAGGTCGACATAAAGAAAATAAAGATGTTTTTTCATGCACGTATCTTCTGCATAGCTCAACCCACATATAGTAAGGCACTATTTCCCTTCGCAACTGGTGTCCATGGCAATCTGTTAAGTGCTACAGTGCTCTGTGACCATTAGACAGACAGTTTCCTTCCAGGATGGTGAAATAAAGAGGCTGGGTGAGTGTGGCTGCCACGTGTCTCTGTGAAGGTCTCGTAGCTCGAGAAGACTCCGGGAGTCTCAGAAGAAAATCTATCTATGTGTGTTATGACAGTGTCCAGAATGGTTTTCTTTCCAGAATTCCTTTTTTTGTCTGAGTATGAATTTAGATTATTCTTCAGTCTTTAGTCTCAAAGTAAATACAAAAGGTGGGGGGAGGAAACAGCTCTTCCGAAACAGAGCTTCGATGCTCCCAGAAAACACACAACGCTGGCAATTCACAAAATCAGCAAAATGTTTCCAAGAGAGCAGAGAAATTGAGAGAGGGAGAGAGAGGGGTAGGGTTTTGGTTTTTAGAGGTGATTGGGTCTGAGTTTAATTTAGCTGGTCTTCATACTGTTTCCGGAAGCAATCCCCTGCTGGGAAAAATTCCCAACACCTTTCTTGATACATCTTCCAGACATAAGATTCCTGCAAAAGTCAAGGAAATGTATTAACATTTTCCCCAAAGTGTGTGCTAACAAAACATAAGGTAGAAACTCAATTCTGTTACCTATATCGCACGGAATAGAGAAGTCCACATTAATTTAGATGGTTCCTAACTAACTATACCAGACCTTAACGTCTCATAATAATCTTCATCCTGACCATTATAATGATAAAAATATGTTGGCTGGGCACACTGGCTCAAGCCTATAATCCCAGCATTTTGGGAGGCTGAGGTGGGAGGATCGCTTGAGTTCAGGCATTCAAGACCAGCCTGAGCAACATAAGAGATCTTGTCTGTACTAAAATTAAAAAAAAAAAAACACAAAAAAAAGCCAGGTGTGGTGGTGCATGCCTGTAGTTTCAGGTACTTGTGGGGCTGAAACAGGAGGATTTATTGAGCCCAGGAAGTCAAGGCTGTAGTAGGTCCTGATCATGCCACTTGAACTTGGCAAAACAGCAAGACCTTGTCTCAAAAAATATATGTGTGTGTGTATATATATACATTTATGCTTCTGAGGGTTCTCTTAAAATATCGTATCCTTCAAATTCAAACTACTAACAATCTGCACAGTGGAAGAGGAATTTCAAATAGCTTAAACACCTTAGGCATTTAACATGCATTGTACATAATACTTTGAAGTTCATTGGAAATCATCTATCTGATTAAACAAAGACATTATGCAATAATTAAGAACTCAATTTTTCAAAATAATGGAATTCAAAACTCAAATCCAGCATTTTCAGTTAGTAAAAGCTTATTGTGTTACATAAACTTAGTACAGAATTCTACTTTAACAAAGGCAATCTTTTCCATACTCATTCAACATAACAGGAACTTTACATCAAGATACCACAACTAATATCTGAAAGTAATTCCGTGCCTCACTGTTTAATGCACACATTTTGTTCTGATATTTAGAGCTTCTCTATCATTTCTTTCAGAAGATGACATGTAATAATTTACCTACCTGTCCTGTGTGTTCTGTTTCATCTTTGTTTATAAGATACATCAGAAAAAACCTACAGATACAGAGAAACTGATCAGAAATGAACGGTATGGAAATATTAGGATAAACAGGGCATATTTAGATAAATTGTATGGTTGCAATCAATTATGGCCAGCACAGAGAAAACGCCACATGCAAATTTTTGGAAAAATTAGTGTACCAGAAAGAGGAAAGGCTGTGGACCTGACTTTTCTGATCTGTTGCTATTTGACCCTAGAGGCTTCAAGTTAGGAATATACACACTGGTCAGAATCAAATCAACACTGATGAATTAGAACTGAAGACTAGCTTAATGAGAAGTTGTAATTTACTGATCAAGTTCCACTGAGTATAGTTAAGCCAATTTTTTTTCCCTATAATGCTACTCGGCATCTCTTCTGTTTGATACTAAAATTGGGTCGGAAAATGAGTAAGAATAGCATTTTACCAAACTATACTTTTGGCTAATCTCGAGTAATGGAAAGATTTCTATGTATTAATATTTTTTTAAATGCAGCTTTTAAGTTGGTATCCAACAGTGCCTGACGAGATCTGAAAGTCCTCTTAAGATCTGTAAGAAGAAAAACGGAGACTCGCATCTCCCTAGGAAGCAGCCTAAGAATTCCTATCTAAAATGAGAAACATGACCAAGACTCCCACAGAGGCCCTGCTCCTCCCTGTCCACCTCTTCATTTCAAGTTCTAGAAAGCATCACTTACATGAAGAGCTGCAACTTAACCTCTTAAGTCAACCTACTCCAGAGGAAAAGAGAGCCATTAGCTGTTGGACTTTCTTTTAAAGTATCTGCAGCAATTATTTTTTAAACAATAAACAAAAACTTCCTCTCTATTCTGAGATGGGCAGGGACCAGTGGCGTCTACTGGAGAGGTGGAAGATTCTGAAACGGGCACACTCACAAGTAATTAGCCAAGTTGTGCTCCTGTAAAGTGTGGGTTTCAAAGCCATGTGGCACTGTGTCGAAGTAATCATTGCCTATCCCACAGATGAAGCATTTGGTCTAGAAAACAAAGGGAAATATTAACGTCAGAGTTCAGAAAGCAAAACAAAAGGAAAACACAACTCGCCATGTAGGGGCAGCTATTATTTGGTTCACTCAATACACGTCAAAGATCATCACATGGAGGCTGTGCCAAGCCCACGAATATAAATGGAACTGTCGCTGTAACTATATCTTGGTGTTGGCTTAAATGACACAGGTACCAGCAGCAAGAAGTAGCAGACGCAGACAGGGAACAAGATGATGATGATGATGGCTGAAAAGCAACGTCTCTTCCTTTCTCTAGCCTAGGTGAAAATGTCCAGGCTTAGTGATCAACTCTTGTTCATGACATTGACTAAAGTTATCTAAGCAGGATTAACTGTGTCTTCAACTGAAACTACAAACTTAGTACCCACCCAAACAAAGTCGGACGACCAAGGGGGAATAGGTACAGATTACTTTCCTTTAGAAAAGGCCAAATCAAATACCAAGCTATGAGACATCCCATCTACAGTTTAGCAAGGGTCTTCCAGGTGCTGTGCTAGGTACAGAATTAGCCAGTGGATGTGAATGGAGAACAACTTTCGGCACTAGGGACCAGATTCCTGGTCCTCTTGGTTCCACCTTCTCTGGACCACGCCTCTCCTAAGCACCCTGTAGAGGGGCACCTGCTTAGGTCTGCCCCTTGCAGACAGGCCTGGTCCACAAAACCCAAGGAGAAGCAATGTATTCAATAATTGTCCCATGTGACTCTGGTGCTCATCCTTCCCTGCCAGTTGTAAGCTGTTTTATGCCATCTGAAGCATGTTTATGAGACCCTGTATTTTAGGAACTACAATCAAGATGATTATAATAGTGTATAAAATTCTTCCTGCCTTACTGATCAACAACTGCTGACAGCTGATAGGTCACATTGAGCAACTGGGGAGAACAATCGATCAGGTCTTCATACCACTCCAATGATGTCTCTTAAATTGAAGTGGCTCAAATCACACTCATCAGCTTTACCGATGAACCTGTTCTTCCTCTGGGTTCCCTAGGTCAGCTAACTATGCCACCATCCATCTGGTGGCTAATGCCTGAAGCCTGGATATCCCCTTGCTTGCTCCATCTTCTCCATTTGGTCAGTCACCAAGTCCCTCGCTGAGGATGCAGAAACTAGATGGATTCAGGCAGTACTTGCCCAACTCCCATGTGCCACCTCTAGCAAAAGCTTCAGAATCTCCCACCTGGAAAATGCTGACAGCCCACTTCCCTGTCCCTGTTCTTGCCAGTTTCTACTTCATGCCTCACATTTTAAACCATAGTTATCTTTTTAAAATGCAAATCTGATCATCTGGCTGCTCTGCTTAAAGCCCTTTTCTTGCTTCCCACAGCCCACATATTAAACTGTAAATTTCTCAAATGAGTGATTATATTCTTCATTCACTGGTATTCCTCTCCAGCCTCATCATCAGAATTTAATCTGCATCTGGTAGCACTGAGGCTGCTAAGAAAAAAACCTGCACATCAACTTCCCTAAAATCAGTCTTGGTATATAATTTCAGGTGGTGATGGGCTCAAAGGTCCCACTGTGAATGGTACCCCTGGAGATGTCCATGGTGTGGGAGAAGGGGTTGGGAGGTTGCCCAAACTGTCCTCCTCTCTCCTTATCAAACCCACAGACTTCCACAGTCTTCAGGCCTCAGCTCAGACATCCCTTCTTCTAGGAAATTCCCTGACCATCCAGGAGTGAATCAGATACCAGCCCTAGAGACCCTACCACTCCAGGGCTTTACTCCCATAAAGGACTCACCACACTGCTCTGTAATCATCTATTTACTTGTCATTGAATCTTTGGTTTCGAATGAATAGTCTCTCCACTTCTGGAGGGAAAGGATGGTGTCCTATCGCTGTTTGCATGCATGTGGCGTCCACCACAATTTCAGCCGACCACGCAGCTCAACTATATGTATTGCTTGAATGGAAAACACGCCAGTGAAACCACAAGTTGTGCCCTTCCCCCTCCTCCTTCCCACATTCATGATTCTATTGATAAAGGTAGTGAGGAAAACGAGGGCCCAGGACAACAAAGAAGCTGAGTCATGAATGGAGAAGCTTACCTCCATGTCTTCTTTGACTTGTTCCTGTTGGTCTCTTAGTTCTCCAAAAGCATCAATAATTAGACCTGGTGTTAAATAAAAACACAATTTAATCTTTATCAAGCAATGAATAATTCAGTTCCTTGGCTAATCCCCCCAGGGAAAGGGGAGATGTACAACTACCTTGCAAAATGCTCAGAACATGGTAAACGTGACTACATATCCGATACTCCTAGGAGAAAGGAGGCGGTGTTCTGTCTTTGGGGACAGAAGTATGTGCAGTTACTGGGACATACACTCACTGAAAAGAGTGTTTTAAAATGAAGTGACAGCAGGAAAAACCTTTTGTTAACTTGGCATATACAGATGTTATTACATACTTCATGCCGAAAAAGAGCAGCTGAGATTTATAAGTACAGAAAACTCCACTAATCAGATTTTTCAAGTACTAATGTAGAAATGAAACATCACCACTTAAACGAAGAAATCTGCCTCAAGTCTTTTTTTTTTTTTTTTTTTTTTTTTTTTTTGAGACGGAGTCTCATTCTGTCACCCAGGCTGGAGTGCAGTGGCACAATCTCGGCTCACTGCAAGCTCCGCCTCCCGGGTTCATGCCATTCTCCTGCTTCAGCCTCCCCAGCAGCTGGGACTACAGGCACACACTGCCACACCTGGCTAATTTTTGTATTTTTAGGAGAGACAGGGTTTCACCGTGTTAGCCAGGATGGTCTCGATCTCCTGGCCTTGTGATCCGCCTGCCTCGGCCTCCCAAAGTGCTGGGATTACAGGCGTGAGCCACCATGCCCAGTCAAGTCATTTTTTTTTTTTTTTTTTTTTTTGAGACAGTCTTGCTCTGTCACCCAGGCTGGAGTGCGGTGGTGCAATCACAGCTCACTGCAGCCTCAACCTCCTGGGCTCAAGCGATCCTCCTGCCTCAGCGTCCCAAGTAGCTGGGATTACAGGCGCACACCACCACACCCTGATAATTTCTGTTTGTACAGACAGGGTTTCGTCTTGTTGACCAGGCTGGTCTCAAACTCCTGGGCTCAAGCGATCCTCTCGCCTCAGCTTCCCAAAGTGGTAGGATTACAGGCATGAGCCATGGTGCCAGGCCCCAAATCACTTTTTTCACAAGTCCCTTATAAGTAAGCTTCCATAATTTCATTGACTGTGACAATCAGAAACACTGTGTTGAGCTGTTTTAAGCTCCTTTTCCCTCCTGAGACCTGCTGGCTTCACACTTTCTTCGAAGTTATAACTTTGCCCTCTTAGAAAACACGTTATTTTTACACTCAATAAGAGCACAATGAATGAATTATGAGTCCCTTAAGCTTGTCCATGGTATTTGACTAAAAAATAGTGTCATTTGATGTCTGTGGAACTTAAAAGAGATTGTCACATTTACAGACATTTAATTCAAGCCAGGATACATGTGTTAAGCGGAAAAGATAACATGACTTTTCTGAGAGAGAAAAACACCACACTCCAAGTTGCCCGGAAGTAAAAGGAAGAGCTAGTGGGTCAATACAGCACCGTGGTTGAAGGGGTCTGGATGCAGATTGCCTGGGTATAGATGGATTCCAGCCCTGTTTAGCTGTGCACTTTGGCCAAGTTCCTTAGACTTATTGTGGCTCAGTTACTTCATGCATAAAATAAGAGCACCATTCTCATAAGGTTGGTGAAATGGTAAAATTAGTTAATACATGTGCTGGGCAGATAGTAGGTATTCAACAATGATACTATTAATAGCTTTATAATTATTTATAAAGCACTGACTATGCATCAGGTATTAGACTGGGTACTTGAATGTATGTCCTTTTTTTATTATACTTTAAGTTCTGGGGTACACGTGCAGAACGTGCAGGTTTGTTACACAGGTATACACGTGCTATGGTGGTTTTTGCTGTACCCATCAACTTGTCATCTACATTAGGTATTTTTCCTAATGCTATCCCAACCCCTCAACAGGCTCTGGTGTGTGATGCCCCCCAATGTGTTACCATTGTTTAACTCCCACT
This sequence comes from Homo sapiens, assembly GCF_000001405.40. Taxonomy (NCBI): domain Eukaryota; kingdom Metazoa; phylum Chordata; class Mammalia; order Primates; family Hominidae; genus Homo; species Homo sapiens. The sequence continues at coordinate 237,826,448 of NC_000001.11, read as the reverse complement.
TATGAGTGAGAACATGTGGCGTTTGGTTTTCTGTTCTTGTGTTAGTTTGCTGAGAATGATGGTTTCCAGCTTCATCCACGTCCCTGCAAAGGACATGAAATCATCCTTTTTTTATGGCTGCATAGTATTCCATGGTACATACGTGGCACTTTTTAAAATCTAGTCTATCATTGATGGGCATTTGGGTTGGTTCCAAGTCTTTGCTATTGTGAACAGTGCCCCAATAAACATACGTGTGCATGTGTCTTTATAGTAGAATGATTTATAATTCTTTGGATATATCCCCAGTAATAAGATTGCTGGGTCAAATGGTATTTCTAGTTCTAGATCCTTGAGGGATCACCACAGTGTCTTTTACAATGGTTGAACTAATTTACACTCCCACAAACACTGTAAAAGTGTTCCTATTTCTCCATATCCTCTCCAGCATCTGTTCTTTCCTGACTTTTTAATGATCGCCATTCTAATTGGCATGAGATGGTATCTCACTGTGGTTTTGATTTGCATTTCTTCAATGACCAGTGATGACCTATTTTTCATATGTTTGTTGGCTGCATAAATGTCGTCTTTTGAGAAGTGTCTGTTCATATCCTTCACCCACTTTTTGATGGGGTTGTTTGTTTTATTCTTATGAAGTTGTTTAAGTTCTTTGTAGATTCTGGATATTAGCTGTATATCAGATGGATAGACAGCAAAAAATTTTCTCCCATTCTGTAGGTTGCCTGTTCACTCTGATGATAGTTTCTTTTGCTAGGCAGAAGCTCTTTAGTTTAATTAGATCCCATTTGTCAGTTTTGGCTTTTGTTGCCATTGCTTTTGGTGTTTTAGTCATGAAGTCTTTGCCCATGCCTATGTCCTGAATGGTATTTGCCTAGGTTTTTTTCTGGAGTTTTCATGGTTTTAGGTCTTATGTTTAAGTCTTTAATCGATCTTGAGTCAATTTTTGTATAAGGTGTAATGAAGGGATCCAGTTTCAGCTTTCTGCATATGGCTAGCCAGTTTTCTCAACACAATTTATTAAATAGGGAATCTTTTCCCCAGTGCTTCTTTTTGTCAGGTTTGTCAAAGATCAGATAGTTGTAGATGTGTGGTGTTATTTCTGAGGCCTCTGTTTTGTTCCATTGGTCTATATATCTGTTTTCATACCAATACCATACTCTTTTTGTTACTGTAGCCTTGTAGTATAGTCTGAAGTCAGGTAGTGTGATGCCTCCAGCTTTGTTCTTTCTGCTTAGGATTGTCTGGGCTATGCGGGCTCTTTTTTGGTTCCACATGAAATTTAAAGTAGTTTTTTCCAATTCTGTGAAGAAAGTCAATGGTAGCTTGATGGGGATAGCATTGAATCTATAAATTACTTTGGGCAGTATGGCCATTTTCACAATATTGATTCTTCCTATCCATGAGCATGGAATGTTTTTCCATTTGTTTGTGTTCTCTCTTATTTCCTCAAGTGGTAGTTTGTAGTTCTCCTTGAAGAGGTCCTTCACATCCCTTGAAAGTTGTATTCCTAGGTATTCTCTTTATAGCAATTGTGAATGGGTGTTCACTCACAATTTGGCTGTTTGTCTATTATTGGTGTATAGGAATGCTTGTGATTTTTGCACATTGATTTTGTATCCTGAGACTTTGCTGAAGTTGCTTATCAGTATAAGGAAATTTGGGGCTGAGATGATGGGGTTTTCTAAATATACAATCATGTCATCTGCAGACAATTCGACTTCCTTTCTTCCTAATTGAATACCCTTTATTTCTTTGTTTTGCCTGATTGCCCTGGCCAGGACTTCCAACACCATGTTGAATAGGAGTGGTGAGAGAGGGCATTCTTGTCTTGTGCCAGTTTTCAAAGGGAATGCTTCCAGTTTTTGGCCATTCAGTATGATATTGGCTGTGGGTTTGTCATATATAGCTCTTATTATTTTCAGATACCTTCCATCAATACCTAGGTTTATTGAGAGTTTTTAGCATGAAGGGCTGTTGAATTTTGTCGAAGGCCTTTTCTGCATGTATTGAGATAATCATGTGGTTTTTGTCATTGGTTCTGTTTATGTGATGGATTACATTTATTGATTTGCGTATGTTGAACCAGCCTTGCATCCCAGGGATGAAGCCTACTTGATCATGGTGGATAAGCTTTTCGAGGTGCTGCTGGATTTGGTTTGCCAGTAATTTATTGAGGATTTTCGCATCGATGTTCATCAGGGATATTGGCCTGAAATTTTCTTTTTTTGTTGTGTCTCTGCCGGGTTTTGGTATCAGGATGATTCTGGCCTCATAATATGAGTTAGGGAGAATTCCCTCTTTTTCTATTGTTGGGAATAGTTTCAAAGGAATGGTACCAGCTCCTCTTTGTACCTCTGGTAGAATTCGGCTGTGAATCTGTCTGGTCCTGGACTTTTTTGGTTGGTAGGCTATTAATTACTGCCTCAATTTCAGAACTTATTATTGATCTATTCAGGGATTCAACTTCTTCCTGGTTTAGTCTTGGGAGGGTGTATGTGTCCAGGAGTTTATCCATTTCTTCTAGATTTTCTAGTTTATTTGTGTAAAGGTGTCTACAGTATTCTCTGATGGTAGTTTGTATATCTGTGGGATCGGTGGTGATATCCCCTTTATAATTTTTTATTGCATCTATTTGATTCTTCTCTTTTCTTCTTTATTAGTCTGGCTAGCAGTCTGTCTATTTTGTTGATCTTTTCAAAACACCAGCTCCTGGATTCACTGATTTTTTTGAAGGGTTTTTCGTTTCTCTATCTCATTCAGTTCTGCACTGATCTTAGTTATTTCTTGTCTTCTGCTAGCTTTTGAATTTGTTTGCTCTTGCTTCTTTAGTTTTTTAAATTGTGATGTTAGGGTGTCAATTTTAGATCTTTCCTGCTTTCTCTTTTGGGCATTTAGTGCTATAAGTTTCCCTCTACACACTACTTTAAATGTGTCCCAGAGATTCTGGTACGTTGTGTCTTTGTTCTCATCGGTTTCAAAGAACATCTTTATTTCTGCCTTAATTTTGTTACTTACCCAATAGTCATTCAGGAGCAGGTTGTTCAGTTTCCATGTAGTTGTGCAGTTTTAAGTGAGGTTCTTAATCCTGAGTTCTAATTTGATTGCACTGTGGTCTGAGAGACTCTGTTATGATTTCCATTCTTTTGCAGTTGCTGAGGAGCATTTTACTTCCAATTATGTGGTCAATTTTAGAATAAGTGTGAATTGGTGCTGAGAAGAATGTATATTCTGTTGATTTGGGGTGGAGAGTTCTGTAGATGTCTGTTAGGTCTGCTTGGTCCAGAGCTGAGTTCAAGTCCTGGATATCCTTGTTAATTTTCTCTCATTGATCTGTCTAATATTGACAGTGTGGTGTTAAAGTCTTCCACTATTATTTTGGGGAGTCTAAGTCTCTTTGTAGGTCTCTAAGAACTTGCTTTATGCATCTGGGTGTTCCTGTATTGGGTGCATATATATTTAGGATAGTTAGCTCTTCTTGTTGCATTGATCCCTTTACCATTATGTAATGCCCTTGTCTCTTTTGATCTTCGTTGGTTTAAAGTCTGTTCTATCAGAGACTAGAATTGCAATCCCTGCTTTTTTGTTTTGTTTTGTTTTCCATTTGCTTGGTAAATATTCCTCAGTCCCTTTATTTTAAGCCCATGTGTGTCTTTGCACATGAGATGGGTCTCCTGCATACAGCACATTAATGGGTCTTGACTCTTTATCCAATTTGCCAGTCTGTGTCTTTTAATTTGGGCATTTAGCCTGTTTACATTTAAGGTTAATATTATTATGTGTGAATTTGATCCTGTCATTATGATGCCAGCTGGTTATTCTGCCCATTAGTTGATGCAGTTTCTTCATAGTGTCAATGGTCTTTACAATCTGGTATGTTTTTGCAGTGGCTGGTACCGGTTGTTCCTTTTCATGTTTAATGCTTCCTTCAGGAGCTCTTGTAAGACAGGCCTGGTGGTGATAAAATCTCTCAGCATTTGCTTGTCTGTAAAGGATTTTATTACTCCTTCGCTTTTGAAGCTTAGTTTGGCTGGATGTGAAATTCTGAGTTGAATATTCTTTCCTTTAAGAATGTTGAATATTTGCCCCCACTCTCTTCTGGCTTGTAGAGTTTCTACAGCGAGATCTGCTGTTAGTCTGATGTGCTTCCCTTTGTCGGTAACCCGACCTTTCTCTCTGGCTGCCCTTAATTAACATTTTTTCCTTCATTTCAACCTTGGTGAATCTGACGATTATGTGTCTTGGGGTTGCTCTTCTCTAGGAGTATCTTTGTGGTGTTCTCTGGATTCCCTGAATTTGAATGTTGGTCTGCCTTGCTAGGTTGGGGAAGTTCTCCTGGATGATATCCTGAAGAGTGTTTTCCAACTTGGTTCCATTCTCCCGTCACTTTCAGGTACACCAATCAAACGTATATTTGGTCTTTTCACATAGTCCCATATTTCCTGGAGGCTTTGTTCATTTCTTTTCACTCTTTTTTCTCTAATCTTGTCTTCTCACCTTATTTCATTGAGGTCACCTTCAATCTCTGATATCCTTTCTTCTGCTTGATTGATTCGGCTATTGCTACTTATATATGCTTCACAAAGTTCTTGTGCTGTGTTTTTCAGCTCCATCAGGTCATTTATGTTCTCCTCTAATCTGGTTATTCTAGTTAGCAATTCATCTAACTTTTTTTCAAAGTTCTTAGCTTCCTTGCAATGGGTTAGAACATGCTCCTTTAGCTCAGAGGAGTTTGTTATTACCCACCTTCTGAAGCTTACTTCTGTCAATTTGTCAAACTCATTTTCCGTCCAGTTTTGTTCCCTTGCTGGCGAGGAGTTGTGATACTTTGGAGGAGAGGAGGTGTTCCAGTTTTTGGAATTTTCAGTCTTTTTGTGCTGGTTTCTCCCCATCTTCATGGATTTATCTACCTTTAGTCTTTGATATTGGTGACCTTCGGATGGAGTCTCTGAGTGGACGTCCTTTTTGTTGATGTTGATACTATTCCTTTCTGTTTGTTAGCTTTCCTTCTAATAGACCCCTCTGCTGCAGGTCTGCTGGAGTTTGCTGGAGGTCCACTCCAGACCCTGTTTGCCTGGGTATCACCAGTGAAGGTTGCAGAACAGCAAAGATTGCTGCCTGTTCCTTCCTCTGGAAGCTTCCTCCCAGAGGGGCACCCACCAAATATCAGCCAGGGCTCTCCTGTATAAGGTGTCTGTCGGCCCCTACTGGGAGGTATCTCCCAGTCAGGATACATGGGGGTCAGGGACCCACTTCAGGAGGCAGTCTTTCCCTTATTAGAGCTCGAACACTGTGCTGGGAGATCTGCTGCTCTCCTCATAGCTGTCAGGCAGGGACGTTTAAGTCTACTGAAGCTGAACCCACAGCCACCCCTTTCCCCAGGTGCTCTCTCCCAAGGAGATGAGGGTTTTATCTATAAGTAAATAACTAGGATTGCTGCCTTTTTTTTCCAGAGATGCCCTGCCCAGAGAGGAGGAATCTAGAGAGGCAGTCTGGCTGCAGTGGCCTTGCTGAGCTGCAGTGGGCTCCACCCAGTTCGAACTTCCCAGTGGCTTTGTTTACATTGTGAGGGTAAAACTGCCTACTCATGCCTCAGCAATGGCAGATGCCCTCCCTCCACCAAGCTGGAGCATCCCAGGTCAACCTCAGACCGCTGTGCTGGCAGCGAGAATTTCAAGCCAGTGGATCTTCGCGTGCTGGGCTCCGTGGGGGTGGGACCCGCCAAGCCAGACCACTTGGCTCCCTGGTTTCAGCCCCCTTTCCAGGCGAGTGAATGGTTCTGTCTCGCTGGCATCCCAGGTGCCACTGGTATATGAAAAAAACTTGTGCAGCTAGCTTGCTGCCTTCCCAAACAGCCACCCAGTTTTGTGCTTGAAACCCAGGGCCCTGGTGGCATAGGCAGTGGAGGGAATGTCCCGGTCTGCTGGTTGCGAAGACCATGGGAAAAGCATGGTATCTGGGCTGGAGTGCACAATTCCTCCTGGTACAGTCTCTCACAGTTTCCCTTGGCTAGGGGAGGGAAATCCCCCAACCCCTTGTGCTTCCTGGGTGAGATGACACGCCACCCTGCTTCTGCTCACCCTCTGTGGGCTGCACCCACTGTCCAACCAGTCCCAGTGAGATGAACTGGGTACCTCAGTTGGAAATGCAGAAATCACCCACCTTCTGCGTCAATCTCACTGGGAGCTGCAGACTGGAGCTGTTCCTATTTGGCCATCTTGCCAGCTACCCTCCCTCCCCCACCTTTTTTTTTTTTTTTTTTTTGAGATGGAGTTTTGCTCTTGTCACCCAGGCTAGAGTGCAATGGTGCAATCTCTGCTCACTGCAACCTCCTCCTCCTGGGTTCAAGTGATTCTTCTGCCTCAGTCTCCTGAGTAGCTGGGATTATAGGTTCACACCACCACACCAGGCTAATTTTTGTATTTTTAGTAGAGACAAGGTTTCACCACATTGGCCAGGCTGGTCTTGAACTCCAGACCTCAAGTGATCCACCCACCTCAGTCTCTCAAAGTGCTGGGATTACAGGCGTGAGCCCCTGCGCCTGGCCTGTATGTCATTTTTAAAAATCTCAACAACCACAGGGCTTAGAAGTTTTTGTTGTTGTTGTTGTTGTTGGGTTTGAGTGTGTGTTTTGAAATGGAGTTTCGCTCTTGTTGCCCAGGCTGGAGTGCAGTGGCGTGATCTTGGCTCACTGCAACCTCCACCTCCCGGGTTCAAGCAATTCTCCTGCCTCAGCCTCCCAGGTAGCTGGGATTACAGCTGTGTGCCACCACGCCTGGCTAGTTTTGTATTTTTAGTAGAGATGGGGTTTACCATGTTGGTCAGGCTGGTCTCGAGCTCCTGACCTCAAGTGATCCATCCCCCTTCAGCCTCCCAAAGTGCTTGGATTACAGGCATGAGCCACCGCACCCAGCTGGCTTAGAAGTTTAAAGGGTTAAATGGCTCACCCACCCAAGATTGTAAAGCTGGGGTTCATGAGTCTGAAACCCAGAGGTGAGAATCAAACCAAGGAAAGTGCCTTTTCCATTATGTTATTTGAAAGAAGACAAAATAACACTGTATCTTCCCTTCATACCAGGGTTCCATACCGCTTTATATTTCCCCCGGTAGATTGCATGATGAAGAAATACTGGAAGGAAAAGTTTGATTTGGCTTTGCCAGGAAACACTTGACGTCATTACCCTACCTTGAATATTAACTTCAGCAACATGTGGCTCAAATTCTAGATGTTCATCAGCTTCAGTGAGGAGGATACTTACCTTGTATTATGGCCAAGAGAATGACAATAACAAAGAAGAAGAAAGTGATGTCAAAGATGATTCGATAGATCTCATATTCATCTCCTGCTGGGTCTTCGATTTCATCCCCGATCCCTCCTCCAGCACGAACTCCAACATACATGTGGAACATATAGCACTGGAAAAAAGACATGGTATCACTTCTTGGAGGGACATTACCCATTTTTTTTTCTCGACAAACCCGAGTTATCTCTGTAGTTCCTAATCCTCACTCTGGAAATGAGAATTTTTGCATTCTATATTGCCTCTTTTTGTTTCAGTATTTCTAGTTGTGAAGCAAACATTTGGCTTTTGCATGTTGCTGTCTTTTAAACAAAAGTGTATACTGCATACTCCGCCTAGCACTTTCTCTCTCACTTTGGAGAAAATGGAAAATTTTCTAGCATCTTGTATCTAGTATCTTGGCTCTGAACCATCTGTGCTAATGAGGTAATCATATTACGAACACATTCAGGGACATACAACTATATTGTATTGTTTGGTTATTTTGGACATAACAGACATTGGAAAGGTCAGGTAATAAGATGGAATCTTAGAAATTAAGCTAGAAGAAAACATACTAACACCCTTCCCTCACATAGTATATATGAAATATGATGCTGAAATTATTTTCTACTTTAATATCTAGAATACAAAAGAGAGGAGACCTGGGGAGGAAATAGCATCTTATTGTTTAAACCCTAAAACGTCAAAGCCACCAACAAGTACAGCTGCCTGTGCCTACTGCTAAAAAATGAGGGGTTCACTAAAGTGCATTTTAGGGCAGTGTTCTTGGCTTCAGCACCAGTGACATTTTTGGCTGGATAATTCCTTGGGCAGGGGCTATCCTGTGCACTGTATGCTATTTTAAAAAGATCCCTTGATCTCTACCCCTTAGATACCAATAGCACCCTACCTCATAGTGACAATAACAGATATCTCCAGATACCAAATGTCCTGGGGCAGGGGGTGGCAAATGAAGTCATGCTGGATTGAGTCACTGGCTTGGAGCATCCAATATTTTATCCTCATTTAAGCTAAGTTCCAACTCCTTTTTCAGGCCTTGAATTTAGCCACACTCAGCTTTCCCAAAAACTTCCCTCTCTGCTCTCTCCGCTCTCCCCATACCTCCTCCAAGTGAACTATTCCTGATTCCAGATCTTTGCTCGTACATTCTCCTTCTCTTGCAATAGGCTTTTCCATTCTTACTCCATTTCTACTCATCCTGTAGGGCCTAAATTAATAATCCTTCCTCTGAGATTTTCTTAGACTGTTCCAGATACCCTGACTTAATGGATGTGTCACCCATCAATTCAAAACCTAGTTAGTTGCTGCTGACCAGAATGATGGGGACAAAAGCCTTAACACAGAAACACCACACTCCTCTGCTTCGCTTCATTTCTGGCCATTGCTTTCCAGTCTCCTTTGCCAAATCTTCCTCATCTCCCTGTAGCTTCATGAACAAATGCCCCAGGACTGGGTTCTTTGAGCTTTTTACTTTTAGGACACTCCCTTGGGGGACCTTTCCCAGTTTCATGGCTTTAAGTATCATCTCTGTGCCAATTATACTCATTTCTATTTCCAGCCTGGATCTTTTTCTTGAATTCCACACTTGGGTATCCAGCTTGCTTATTTTTTGGTGTCTATCTCATTCCAGTAGGACTGACTGCATTCCAACAAGAAATGCTTTGGTTATTACTCTGTTGCCAGTGCCTAAAATAACGTCCAGCACATGGTAAGTCCTCAAATCATTTGTGGGATGAATGAGGAGCCTTCACTGCCTCAACCCACAGATCTCACATTCTCAGGACACTTTAAAAAGCACAATGTGTAGGCAAAGAGCAGTCAACAAGGTGATATCAAAATGCTCATAGTTCAACTATGAGTTCAACAGCTGATGGATCTGTTAGATGCAGAGGAGAAAAAGTCTCCTGGGTTAGATGGCTGGAATTTAGGGAACAGAATTAAATGTGTCATTTGGAAACGTTTTATCAGCCTGGCATACAAGGATGAGATTGGGCACATTCAGGGTCGTATGGTTGTAGACTCAGCCTGGCATATAATAAAGAGCATTATAAGGCCAGCTCAGCCAGTGCCCACCCAAGATCTGATCTGGAGCCCAGGTTAGGGGTCTCTTTTGCAGAAAGGTCAGGAGATCCTTAGAGCCAGATTAGGCTGATAGGGTCTAAGCCTAACCTCATATCAGAGTCTCCTGGACGTGGCAACATTCTGGGTTCCTGGTACTACCTACTGAGTCAATCTCTGGAAGTAAAATCTTACAGACCATCCATCACTTAAAAAAATATCCTGAAGCTACTGCTGTAGTTTTTCAAAACTTGGTGCTTGAAACTGCTAACAGTGAATCTGTGAGAAGGGGAAACTATTTTCACCATATACTCAGGCATACTGTTTGAATTTGTTTTACCACACATTTCTTACTTTTATTAAGAACTGGATTGCTTTTTTCCTTTTTTTTTTTTTCTTTCTACATAGAGTCTCGCTCCGTCTCCCAGGCTAGAGTACAATGGTGCATTCTCTACTGACTGCAACCTCCGCCTCCTGGGTTCAAGCGATTCTCCTGCCTCAGCCTCCCAAGTAGCTGAGATTACAGGTGTCCGCCACCATGCCCAGCTAATTTTTGTATTTTTGGTAGAGATGGAGTTTCACCATGTTGGCCAGGCTGGTCTCGAACAACTCCTGACCTCAGGTGATCCGCCCGCCTCGGCCTCCCAAACTGCTGGGATTACTGGCGTTGAGTCACCGTGCCTAGCCTGGATTGCTTTTCTCCAAATCTGTGTCTTCATATGTATTTAATTGTGACTACAGGAAATCAACAAAGAGTGGTTAACACAGCTTCTTTCCTCTTTAGTTAGACCATCTTTCCCATTGCCCACGTTTCTCTGACTTCACAAGTAGCTTTGTGTTTGCAACTCTCCTCCGGGGATTTCTCTGGGGACTCAGTTTGGATAGTATACCTGGTTCTGGACTGGTACTCCTCCATGTCAAGTTCTGGTCTCTTGGGTCCCCATTCCAATCCCCACAGTGAGCCAACAGTGGATTGTGCAGTTCCCAGTCCAGGTCTTGGAATGTCCTAGCTCTCCATCCCTGCTTCTTTGAGGAACTGCGTGTGACAGCACTAGTGGCTAAGATTGCCCAGCAACTGATGGATGAACTGATCATCCATCAGTTCCTCTTGGTGATTCCTGCTGACCAAGACTCTTGGTCTTGCACTTGGGAGTCTTTGGGTCTTGGGTTAAAATTTGGCTTCCCATAGAGGTGTTTGTCTAGGGAAGAGAATGTGCCAACTTGTTGCATTAACTTTTAATGAGTAGCATGTTGGTATTCTGACTCGTACATCAGGCTTATGTAATACTGGTTAATGTGAGTCTGTCCCCAAAAGAATGATTCACTTGTAGTTTCTAGACATGTAATGTTGAAGACAGGACCAAGGAATGAGGCTAAATTACCAAAGAAAATGTCTCCTTCTTTGCAGATCTCTTGTCAGCCATCTAACAACCTTTCCTGGAAATACCCTTCCTCACTGCTCTCCTTCATTTTACATCAGCTTTATGCATTGTGATGAAGGGATTCCAGCAGAGATCGGTAGTGGACTTAACAGTCATGCTGAAAAGACAGTCTTGTGCATCTGATTATTTAGGCTTAATAAATTACCAAATTTAAAAAGAATAAAATGTACAGTTCACCTGTGGGATGTTGATACTGGTTTTCCCAGCTTCATCCTTTACTACCTGGTCAGCCTTAGACAACTGTATGTAGTTGGCTGTGGTGCTGGAATAGGAGGTATGTGGTGAATAACTTCCAATACATGGCTGTCAGGCTTTCAGCTACCAAATTATCCTGCTGCAACTGAAAATCCTTTTATCCACCTTTCTTTTCATAGAATCAGCCTAAACCTGATAATGAGAGCTGGAGGTGGAAAGAAGTAATGCTGTGAGACAAAAAGATGTGCTTCTTTCAGACAATCTGAGTAATGAGGAAGGAAGGTGCCTGGTCCTACAAAAATTTAGAAGAGGAAGTTGTTGATTTCCAAGATGTTATAGTCTGTGGCTTCCCTCCCTCATCCGTCTCCTAAACAGATTCATTCTGAGGTTGATCATAGTTTCTATTGGCTTTAGGGAACACTGAGGGTCAGCTGCTGGTGAAGATCCTTATCAGGCCTTCATCTTGGCAAAAAAAAAAAAAAAAAAAGAAAAAAGAAAAAAGGAGCAGATTATTTGTTGGGAAAGTAGGGTAAAGTAAGTGACAACAATTAAGTGAGGTAATTTAGAACAATTACCTAAGCAAGTTTATTTCCCTAGGAGTGTACTTTTCATCTTAATCACCTGGAAAGCTATTTTTCCCAAAGTGCATAAGTCTTGACACCTTCCCCTGCAGCCTCTGGTTCAGGGGGTCCCTCTCCATCTGAGATGAACATCGTCCTATATGTCAAGTCAGACTCCCTGGCTATCTAGCCACAATCATCTTTCTACCTTGGACTTTACATCATTTTTCTCTTTCTCCTCCTACATTCTTGTAGAGGAGGTTCAAATTCTATCAGGATACTGCTGGTTTAATTAGATTCTCAGGCTCAAAACATCCTAATCTGGAAAAAAAAAAAAATCCCCCTGTGACTTGTCTATAACACTGCAGCTATGGCGCCCCCTACTGTAAATTATGAAAAACAGGAGGGCGAGTTGCCTATTTGCAAAACCTAAGATGTTCTCTCAGAGCCACAGAAACAACCAGAAACAACAAAGAAACTCAGGATGAAGTGAATAAAATGTGACATGAGTGAGGAAAATTTATCTCAAGAGAGAATATAGACATCGCCCTGTGAAAGGACACGTTCAAGAGACTGTCATAAAGAAAGGATCATCTTTTGAGAACTAAATTAAAGAAATTAAATCTTTGTTTCCTATTCTGTGCTGCTTTCTTGCTGGCAGGCTGGTTTTAATAAGCCTGTACTTTGAAAGCGCACTACTCTAAGTGATCAGTTATATTTTAAATTTTGTTGGCTTTTTAAAGAAGCCCCTGCACAAGTACTGGTAAGAAGCAAATTAAAAGTAAGTGTTTGGACGCTACAATTGGAATGTCAATCTAGGTAATGTGGCCTCCATTCCCATGTGGGAGTTTTTAGGGACAATTACTGGGATATGAGCGTGTGTAATGCTACACAGACTCCTGTCTGGTTTGACTGATTGGCAGCAGCCCGTCACTGTGAATGAGCTAGGGATGAAAAAGTGGCTTGTGTCTTGGAACTGAGTTTTCTCTTGCAGGGAAGAAACATCTAAGACATATACTCAACCCAGTCAAAGACAAGATAGTAAGTTTATTGTTATGTGTAGAGATATAAAAACCTACAACAGAGCTGGTCATAAATAGTCTTACTCATGAGGACAGAAATCCCTCAAACTGAAAAAAATCTAGGCTCTAGCTAAGTCCATAGTTCAGAACATCAACAGGCCGTATTTCCTCACCGGAACCAAGTTTCTCTGTCTTCTGTATTCATGCCCCCATGAAATTAGGCAAAATCAACCAGGTGAAGGCAGTTGTCTTCCTAAGCAAAATTAACAAAAGTAATGGAAATGCATACTGAGAGTGAGGTTCAAAATGTAGTCGTTTAAGGATCCTATGATTACAACTTGAATGGGGTCAACTATGACGACTGCATAATAAAAGGAGAGACCAGGATGTTGCTGGGGTCTCCCTGTGGTACAAAAGGAAGATCTAAAGTCACATATTGTTCTCACTACCTGATACAGGTCACTGAATGCCATTATCTGAAATCATTCCTATTTTTCTATTAATTTTTAGCAATTCTCTGAGCATCATAGCCTTTAGGAATACATAACCTAAGTAAACTTTCTGCCCTGAGGCTGGTAGATATTGAGATTTATAAATTTTGTCGGGTGTTTGTCCTAGAATAGAACTGAATTTCCTGGAAGTCACTGCAGGCAATGTACCTGCTACTGCTACCTTCTGCACCTCCCTTGTGCCTTGTAGCCTTTCCTGGCCTCCCACTCCCCTCCTGCCTTCAGGGTCACAGGGTAGAAAGGCTCTGAGCACAGCTGATATTAAAGGCAGCGCATGGAAGAGGAGATGAAGGATCCTTAACACATCTTCAGCCCTAGGCCTGGAATGAATGAATAGGCGTGGGAGGAGGGGGTAAAGTGTTGCATGTTAGTGACTCTGATGGAGAGTCGTCACTAGTAACGGGTCAGTCTTATTGCATTGAATCCAGTTTTCTTACAGTTGCTGTAAGTTAAAAAAAAAAAAAAAACTTATACATTTTTCTCTGCTTTGTGGTGCGAGAAAAGCAGCAAAAGGAAGGATAGGAGATGGTTTTAAGAAGTGGGCAGGTGGGCCAAATCAGGGGGTGATAGAAAGGCAGTCAGGGAGGAGGCTCCAGGCAAGGTGCATGAATTATTTGTCCAGCAATTAATCGGAGAAGAAGACTAGCAAATGTAAGTAAGTATTACATCTCAGTCATGACAACTTATGATGACTAAAATGGATCTCAAGTATTAAGGCACTTGATCTATGTCCGTATCAATATCTTCCACCCTGTGGTATCATGTGACATTAATAAGTTATTTCTATTTCCCTGTCTAGTAGCCAGCCACCTAAAGCAACTTCTCAATTGCAATATTTGAGCAGTGATGTTGAATCCACTATTTTTGTATAGTATATTAAATGTTCTGTATGCGATAGGAATACTGATCCACAAGGTTTTCCAAAACTTCTGGAATTTCTGGGGCACTCTTTTCTTGGAGGATCCCAGAAAAAAGAACGAGCTTAGCAGAATTTCTAGAAAGGTGCTTACCATGCAAATTCCATGAAGGCAGGGACTGTACTTACTCAAGCCTTATCCTTAACGAGTGCCTGGTATAAAAATAGCACTAAAATTAATGACAGAAGCATGAATGAAGTTACTATCTGTGAGGTAGTGTAACTTAGAGTACTGGTTGAAGAGTGTCACCTCTTCCTAACTGTGTGACTTATGACAAGTTACTCAAACTCTTGGTAGCTCAGTTTCCTCATCTGTAAAATGGGAATGATAGCAGTGCCAACCTGCAGCAGAAAGTTGGTAGGAGACTACTGAGTTAATATTTGTAAAGCTCTTGAGACAATGCCTGGGACAATAGCATTTATAGCCAAGTGCTATATAAGCACTTGACAAATAAAAAAAATCTACAAGACTGTGGATTTGTAACTGGGATGGCATTTTCTTCCAGTTGAGGAATTAAGTTTATGGATGAACAACCATGAACATCAGAGTCCTTTCAGCTCTGATACTCCGTGTCCTCCAAGTAGGTCACTAGCACGTGGAAACCACAAAGTCACATGTGAAACACCTCAGAACGGCAATCGTGACAGGAAATGTTGAAAATTACAGATGATTTTCACATGAACAATATGATTTGCTCTGCTGTCAACTATGTGTGGAAGGATGAGTTGAAAGCTTTTTCCCCCTGCATTCTCCATCAAAAGCATCCCTTTTTGAAGTTCCAAGCCTTCGAAAATTTAATCTTGACCTAAGAAAAGTGAATATTTTTATGTCAGCAAGCTATTATGTATCCCCAATTTTTAACTAACCTGCAATTCATTTGAGAGTTATTTATTCTTAAGATTTTTTTTATTAAAAAGAAAGTTGGGAAGAGAACAAAATGCTTAATATTGAAAAGCTAAAGAATGACAATCTTGTCTGAAGCTCTCTAAATTAGTAAATAAAAGAATACTTGTTTAAAGGAGAGAAAGGATGGGCAATTCTATATTAATGATCATTTATGATAAAGTTTTAAATACAGAAAAACTTCTTTACACAAATAAGAGATTTGGGCTATAAATAAATGGCTCAAGAACAGGCAGTGGATCAAAATGTAACATCGAGTTTCAGCAGAGCTTCCCTCAACCTCTGTCCTTTAATTCCCTCAGGTCAGCCACCTGTATGTTCTGTTCTCTCCTCCCTGCCAGGGAACAGTCACTGCATGTAGTTATACTAATTGTGGGAATAACTGAAGGCAGATTATCTTCTATAACATGGTGGGGAAAAAACTGTCTTAGGCTTTTAAAAATAAAAAAATACCTATGGTAAAAAGAAATAGTATCAATAATTCAGACAGGAGTAAAGTCTATAAAATGAAAAGCAAACAAGTTTCTTTCCCCTGTGATCTATGGTCCTACCCCTGTAGGAATCCTTGTTCACAGTGTCCTATGAATAAATCCCTCCAGAAAAATGTTATGCATATTCCAGCATATCAAAAATATGAATTATTGTGTATATATAATTTCACACAATTAGGATCCTATCATTACTGATCCAAGATCTTGTTTTTTTAAATTAAATGTAATTTAATTAAAATGTAATTTATATATCTCTCCATATCTGTATACATGAATTTCTCTCATTTTCAAACAGATGCATACTTGTTATGGATTTATCGTAACTGACTTAATCAGGACACTACTAATGATCATTTAGATTATTCCTAGCTTGTGAGGGCAGCTAATGTTCTTGAACATACAGAGGCTTGTTTGTGAGTAAACCTTTAGGTAAAGTACTAGCAGTGGAATTAATAGGTCAAAGGATATATATACTTAAAAATTTGATAGGTGTCACAAAACTTCTCTAAAATTGTTGTCAATTCAACCTCCCAACCAGAGTCATGAAAATGCTGATTTTTCCCATCAATTCACCAACTGTGGGTTTTAACAAACGTGAATACTTTGCAAACCTGATAGGTAAAAAGTGTTTTTTTCATTGTTTTAATTTGCATTTCTTTCACTTTGACAGAGGCTGAGCGTCTTTTCAAATTTGCAAGCCCACTGAATTAATTTTACCGTGAATTGTCTGGTCATGTGACTTACTTGTTCTTCTATTGGCTTATTTCTTATTGATGTGATAAGGACTTGGTAGATTAAGGAAAATGGCCCTTTGTTATGGTGTTAAATATATCTTTCCCAGTTTACCATTTGCCTTTACGACTTTATTTATAGTTGCTCTTTTTTCAAATAATGTTTATGCTTTCATAGATCCTGAGTTTTATGTCATACTCAGACCGTTCTCCATGTAAAAATGAGTATTACTATTATTTAAGGCATCAAATTCTGTCTTGTGATTATTCCTTCTTATTGCATTAAAATATGCTCATTTCAGAATTTATTTTTATTTAAAAAGCAAGGTTGGCATCCATTTTTATCATTTCCCCCCAAATAGCTTGTCCATGGTACTAATGTCATTTATTAAATTATTTTTCATTTCATTACTTCAAAAGATCTTTATCATCTTTTAATTTCCGTGAGTATTTGCATCTGTTTCTGAACTACTCTGTCCCACTGAGTTGTCATTCTTTAGTATAAAATTATCTTAATTGTTAGTCTTTGTAATACTGGTCATTCTCATCAATCTTTTGGGCTATTTTTTCTAGAGTAATTTATGTATCATTATATCAGCCTCTATACCTACATCCCCAACACAAATGATGTAGGTATTTTCGTGAGGAGCTTACTGAAGGATACATCTCTTTCCAGCTAGTGATATATATTTTGTCTCATGTTCCCCTTCCTGATCTAAGATCTCATGTATGATTACCTCTCAGCTGCCAATATTAGAGAGACAGGTTGTAGAACAGCGATATAAAGCAATATGAAAGCTTTAACAGCTGTTGATTTTTGAAAACCAAGACCAAAAAAGACATTTAAGCCAAGATACTCAATATAAAAGCAAAAACCAGTAGTTCTAGGAAGAGATATATTTTTGAAATTTAGTAATTTCAGTTAAAGTCATTAAGGTGAACAAAAAACTAAGGCTTCCAAATGTTCTCTGGGAAATAGTTTTACCCGTTGTCCTGGGATATGTGAACAACAGGCTTAAGTGATGACATTACTCCTTCGAGTTCTAAGTACATTACTCAGCAATTCTAATTATTAGGCTGTGCAGCACATATGGAAAATTGACAGAAATGCTCCTTTATGTTCTGCTAAAATTGAAAACTGCTGAATCTTTAAACAGCCCTGCAACTTTTTATTTGTTTAGACTATTTTCTATTTTGTACTGTTAGAGAATAAATACACAATTACTTAGACTGCAGAAGCAGGAGACATTTTTGTTTATGTGAGATCAAAGGTTATGAACTTACTGTTAGCATATCGTCACATTTCATATCTGGTGTATCACCATCTTCACTTTTATTGTAGAATTTTCGGAAAAAATTGAATGCCACCACAGTGTATAGGTATACAACAACAGCTAATAAGCCAACGGTTAATACGAGCTGGAAAACAATGTGACAAGGACCAGGTATTAGAAATGTAGGACATACAATTGACACGTGACATCTACATGGGCGGCGAGTGCTCTAGTGAGAACACAGCCGTGTTTACTAGAAGCTAATGGGATCCATAACTTATTTCTCACCTTTCTTAGCCCCCTCATGCAGACATTTATTTTCATATTCTCTTTATCAAGTTGTCAGACTTTATTTTATTTTATTTTATTTTATTTTGTTTTTTTTTTTTTTGAGACAGAGTTTCTGTCACCAGGCTGGAGTGCTGTGGCACAATCTGAGCTCACTGCAACCTCTGCCTCCCGGGTTCAAGCGATTCTCCTGCCTCAGCCTCCCGAGTAGTGGGGATTATAGGCATGCGCCACCACACCCAGCTAATTTTGTATTTTTAGTAGAGATGGGGTTTCTCCATGTTTGTCAGGCTGGTCTCGAACTCCCGACCTCAGGCGATCTGCCCGCCTCGGCATCTCAAAGTGCTGGGATTACAGGCGTGAGCCACCGTGCCCGGCCCTTTCTTCATTTTATGAGGGCTATTTTCTATAAATTACATTCCTAATAAAATGCATTTCGTTTTTGTTATGACTGTAAATTATTTTTAAATTTTCAATCATATCCTAAACTAAATAGAAATTTGTATTGCCCCTGAAATCTGGGGACACACAACTAGTAATAAGGTATAATATAAATATTTTTTAAAACTGAGAAATCTTGCTTTGTAAACAATGGCCAAAGTGAAAAATACCACAGCTAGTGACCAACACTGTTTTGAAGGCTATTTTTCTCAATCTATAATTAAATGTCTCTGTTTGAAAGGTCTTTCAGCTCTATGTAATCTGTTTTTAATTCCAAATTATACTTTAATTTTTGGATAGCTATAAGTATATGATAGAATTGTAGAGTATTTTTGATAGAATATGTATATGCTAAAAATGTGGCTTTTCACCCAGTTGGTGAAAATGTATTTCTGGTTTCATCACAGAAATTCGACCATACTAACAGTGCTTTATCTTTATGTGTACTTTTTCTGATTACAGCACATCTTTATGGTCTTGACTGCAACTGCTTATGCTGATTAAGTCTTTACAAAATCACTTTATAATTATCTGGAGAAAACATGTTACCTTAACAGAGGGTTTCATTCATTTCTATAAATGAAGTGCAAGGTTACTGTGAATTTCTGCATGTTTCACCTGTTAGGACTATAAAGCTCTACATATTTCTGCAAATGAAAATTTGAGGCCAGGTGGGGTGGCTCATGCCTGTAATCCTAGCACTTTGGGAGGCCGAGGCAGGCAGATCACCTGAGGTCAGAAGTTCGAGACCAGCCTGGCCAACATGGTGAAACCCCATCTCTACTAAAAATACAAAAATTAGCCGGGCATGGTGGCACGCGCCTATAATCCCAGCTATGCGGGAGGCTGAGGCAGGAGAATCACTTGAACCTAGGGAGGCGGAGGTTGCAGTGAGCCGAGATCGCGCCGCCGCATTCCAGCCTGGGTGACAGAGCAAGACTCTGTCTTAAAAACAAACAAACAAAGAAAATTTGATCCCTCAAAAAGAAACCCCACAAAGCTCAGAAATGGAAAGTAGTGCCGGACCTTTTATGTAGAAACACACATACATTTGGCATCTCCAGTTCTTTACTGCATATCCTGGGAGCTCAAACACATCTTATTAACTGACAGATAAATAGACTTTTTTGTCGCTAGACCCATGACTTGCCGTGCACGTCACAGTCATACTCAGAACCTAAAGTGACATATGTAAGAATCATGCTGAAATTTAGAAAACTGATGATAATGTGGACTTAACTGTGGACCCAGTTCAAAGCTTTTAGAGAGGCAATTATTTTAAAATGTGCTGGGCTACAAGACTCTGGAAATGAAGGAGTCTGTTAAGCCAAATAACTAACACAGAATATGTCGCCACCCAGTGGACACTTGAAAAATAGCAAGTGAACGGATCAGTGCACACTTCTGCAATATGCTTCAGGATAATGGGAAGTCTTAACATTAAGAACAGGTTCCATTGGAACGTAAGTGCATTTTCTGGACCTAGACCAGTTTTCTTCCGAGTCAGCATGACCTTGTCAAATATGAAACGTTATCCTTTTTGCTCAATTTAAAAGTAAAGAGTACATGAATATCCAGCTTAAAAATACTACATTAAAATGCAGCATCTCATATTTTACAACGAATACAATGAGTGGGTCAGGATTCTGTAACCTATTTTGGTTCTCCATAATAGCAAGTGGAGCAAATACTATACTAGGAACAAAATAATAACTAAGTTCCTGAGTGCTTGATATGGGCCAGGGGCTGTGTTAAGGCATACACATTTGTTTTTATTTCATTTTCGCAAAAATCTGGTAAGGTATGTACTTTTATTATTTTCAGTTAATTTATCCAAAGTCAAGCCAAGGCTTGAGTATAGGCCTAGGAGACCCTCAAACTACTAATCCCTGCAGTTTAGAACAGGTGCAGACCCTCCCTTCAAAAAAATCTTTAAAACTGTACATTGTCATTTGAGGGGTAGTTTTATTTTTCTTTGTTTTATTTGTTGCTTTTTTATTTTCTGCAAGGGAGGAAAAAGATAAACTGTTTACCTGTTTGCCATTGTGAGTTACTGAGGACAAGATGGTTCTTAATGTCTTGAATCCCATAGCAATGTCGAGAAGGTGAGCGGCAAAAAAAAAGTTGTTATAGTGTCCAAGAACAGACATAGTCATATACCAGGCTAGGTAGAGGAAGGACTATTAAGACAAAACGGGGGGAAAGAACATGTCAGAAAACAGAACGCATGACTATTGTTATGGGTTAAGCAAAATAAGCCAGGAACAGAAAGTTAAACTCTACATGTTCTCACTCACATGTGGAATCTTAAAAAGTTAATCTCATGGAAGTAAAAAGTAGGAGAGAGGACACTAGAGATTGGGGAGAAAAAGGAGAGGTAGGAATAGGGAGAGATTTGTTAAAAGATACAAAGTTATAGCTAGATAGAAAAAATAAGTTCTGGGGTTCTATACCGCTGTAGGATGACGGCAGGTCACAATAATATATAGTTTCAAATAGCTAGAAGGGGGATATTAAATGTTCCCAACACAAAGAAGTGATAAATGTTAAAGATAATGCATATACTAATTACCCTGATCTGATTACATTATATTTATCAAAATATCACTAGGTACCCCATGAATATGTCAATTAAAAAAATACAATTAAAAAGTAACTCTGATTTCACTCTGTTATAATTACTCCATTTACTTCATCTTCGTACACTATACTTTTTTTTTTTTTTTTTTTTTTTTTGAGACAGAGTCTAGCTCTGTCGCCCAGGCTGGAGTGCAGTGGCACAATCTCAGCTCACTGCAAGCTCTGCCTCCCAGGTTCATGCCATTCTCCTGCCTCAGCCTCCCGAGTAGCTGGGACTACAAGCGTCCGCCACCACGCCCGGCTAATTATTTTGTATTTTTAGTAGAGACGGGGTTTCACTGTGTTAACCAGGATGGTCTTGATCTCCTAACCTCGTGATCCACCCGCCTCGGCCTCCCAAAGTGCTGGGATTACAGGCGTGAGCCACTGCGCCTGGCTCACTATACATTTTTACAATTCTAGTTAGCTGTATCAGTTTGTTCTTTGTGAATTTTATTTTTACTTAATTTGTTCTGAAAAGGTCAGTGTCATCCTCCTTTAAAACAGTTTTAAAGTGTTTCAGGAATTGTCGTTGTTATTTATCCTCCGACAGAGAAACATTTATTGACTTCCTACTCCGCAGCAGGCTTTCTCAACCCAGCGCTATTCATATTTTGGTTCAGATAATCCTTTATTATGGGTGCTGTTCTGTGCATGGTGGGATGGCAAGCAGCATCAACTAGATGCCAATAGCACCGACCCCACCTCTCCCCTGAGTCATGACAACCAAAAATGTCTCCAGACATTGCCAAACATCATTAGCAGACAAAACTGTTCCCCAGTAGAGAAGAACCCTTGCTCTACAGCCAACAAAAGAACCAGTCGCTTTCTCTCCCTCCTTTTCTTCCCTTCTTTGCTTTTCATTTATTCACTGACTAAATCAGTGTTTGCTGAGACCTACTAGTTATGAAATTATATGAAGTGTTTTATTAACCAAGCATCTCACTTTACGTGAGCCACAGTAAGTCTAGGAGAAACCCAAATACCATGTGACGTCACTGAAAGCTATAATACACCTAATAATACTATTGGTACTGTTGTAGAAGTCTCCTGGGTTATAATTAATGTTGATTATTCACATAGGCTGGAAAATGAATACACTTTTGGGGGAGGGCCAGGACTAATGCAGAATAAAAATATGGTGGCTGCTCTTACTTATGGGACTACAGTCTCTGCTCCATAAGGAATGTTTTGCTAGTGGAGTCAGAAACCACCCATTTGGGGAAGCGGCGGACACCTTCATTTTGACTGTAAGATATCTTAATCTTTCACAGAGAATAAAAAGAGGGGGCTGAGCTAGTAAAGGGATTTCAAGGACCATGTGGAACTGAAGCTAGAGGTCAAGTGGCAGAAAAGAAAACAGCATTTTTAAAAAGCACACTGAGGTAAGACTAAACAGAGTTTGCTTGGGAAGGAAAATTTGGTTTGAGTGGTGGGTTCCTGTTTTGCAAGACCAAGTTGGAAAAGTGTGGCAGTGTTGGAGAGGCTTGAGGGCAAGTTCAAGGACATTTGTGTACCCCACAGGAACTTGAGTGCCACTGCAGTACCATGAGAAGGATAACGGTTTGTGAAAAATGGCATTTTAGGAAAATTTCTTTAGCACCTACTAAGTGCTGGTCAACGTTCAATATATTTGCACACATGGTCTCTTTTTTATTTTAGCAAGATCTCTGATGAATAGGCACGTTTAGCCCCAATTTATATATGAGGAAGTGAGCTTGCTCTAGTTAAGCTATTGTCTAAAATCATTGTAAGTGGCAAAGCCATTAAATTAGAAGACTACTGGACAAACCCCAGGGTGAGGTTACCAGAGCCAAAAAAAGCAGCAAAAGTGGTAAAGATAGAAGGGAGAATTACAGAGGACACAAACAGGACCAAGATTCAGCAAATAATCAAATACATGCATTGGAGGGAGAAAGAAGAGGAGGAGTCCATATGAATAATTTAAGCTTAGGTAGTAAGAAGAACAAAAATACTAAAAGAGAAAATTGTAGACCGAAGACTGGATTTGGTGGGGAGGAGCAGAGGAGAAGGAAGATGAAAATTTGCCATGGGACATTCAGATGGAGCTAATCTAAGGAGGCATTAAGAAATGCAAGACTGGGCGTGGTGGCTCACGCTTGTAATCCCAGTACTTTGGGAGGCCAAGGCGGTCGGTTCACGAGGTCAGGAGATCGAGACCATCCTGGCTAACATGGTGAAACCCCGTCTCTACTAAAAGTACAAAAAATTAGCCGGGCGTGGTGGCGGGCGCCTGTAGTCCCAGCTACTCAGGAGGCTGAGGCAGAATGGTGTGAACCCAGGAGGCGGAGCTTGCAGTGAGCGGAGAGTGTGCCACTGCACTCCAGCCTGGGTGACAGTGCAAGACTCTGTCTCAAAAAAAAAAGAAAAATGCAAAGACTGAGGAAAAGGAAAATTTATGGGCATAAGATGAGTAACGACCTAAGTGACAAGCTGGGCCAAAGGTGCATGTGTGGTCTACACATGTGCTTGCTGCACAGTAAAATTTGAATGAGAGAGAAAGAATAAATGATTTTTAGTTTAGGTATATCCCATGAAGTAATTTGGGACATACTTATGCTAAATATTATTTTCTGCTTATCTAAAATTTACATTTAACTAGGAATTCTGAATTTCGTCTGGTAACCATGGCTATGTTTCAGAGAGACACAGTAATAGTGAAGAATGAATGCATGTTGAGAGGTGATTGGCCAAACAGAAGCCATGAAACTGCAGGTGGATAAAAGCCTACTAAAATAGCAGAACGCTGTCTAAGGAAAGACTCCATCCTGGATCTATCCATGCCCAAGTTATCAAGAGGACAAAAAAACTACAAAGCAAGATGAATATTATGGATAAGCTGCATCTGGGCAGAAGCTGCATCTGGGCAAAAGTGGGCTATGCAAATACTGTGGCATGGAAGATTGAGCTTAGCAGGCAGAACTTAAGATGGACTGGCCACTTCAGTGGAAAATGCCAACTAGAGCCAAAGCTGAGGTTGCCCTCTTGTTATTCAGGGGAGTTGCTCCCATTTGGATGAGAAATTAGTTGTAAGATAGTGTATTAATAGTTTATGGTTCTGAAAGATACTTGGAAGACCTGATTTTGAACTCTTAGAGAATGCTCCTAAGACACCCAGAGTTCTGGGCCCATGGCTGGATGAGGGAAGGGATAAGGATAGAGGCAGGAGAATTTGGGGGCTATCAAATGCTTCTAAATAGGAGAATGGAACTAACGTGAACTATAAAAGTCAGTGCTAAAATTAAAGAGTGAAATCTTGAGACACCTGGCGGTTTTTAGTAATAGGTAATTTTTTTCTATTTGGATATATATTACGGCCCTATATTTAGTCTCCAAAGGCTCTTTGGTAAAAGGAGAATAAAAAAAATAAAATAAAACTCCATAAGTTAATGTACTTAATTTGGGGAAAACCTAAATTTAGCACAATTAATGTTCTTTTAAAATTATTTAGGAGTTTCTTTTTAACATCTATAAAACTGAAGTATGCCATTGTCCAATTAAAACCTTAATGAACGTACTCACAAATCTGCATCTCAGTTTTTCATATATTTTCATTTTACTATTTCAGCTATTGAAAGAAATGGAATGAGAGATGGGCTCATTAATCATATCATTCTGTGGGTCTCTCTCCAGATCTGGTCTGTATGAAATGAATTGGTATTCGAAACATTTTCTAAATAACCAGCCTTCCATCTGCAGAACTCCCACAGTCTTATCTAATCAGAGTGCATTTTCTTTTGTGATAATGAAGTAGGCTTACGTTGTCAGTGAAAACGACTCCTAGTTTCCACATCTGATACTTCACATCAATGGAGTTCAGTCTGCAATGACAAAAAAAAAAAATGCGTAGTTATGCACATTAACCAAAGACTCATAGGCTTGCGAGAGCCTGACGGCCTTCACATTCAATGGGACAAGACTTGGACACCTTCTTGGGAAACGAGTTCTATCCCAGATGCCAAGGGAGGAGCTGAGAGCCAACTCTGACACTGTATCCTAGAGTTTCATGATGTGTTCTTAGAGGATCTTGGAAAACAAAACATCATCACCTTCGTCTTATGTTATTTAAAAATAGTCCTTTCTTTTTCACCTTTCCCTTTCCTACATTCAGTATTAACATTTTTTTTTTTTTTTTGAGACAGAGTTGCACTCATTCACCCAGACTAGAATGCAATGGTGCAATCTTGGCTCACTGCAATCTCTGCCTCCCCGGTTCAAGCGATTCTCGTGCCTCAGCCTCCCGAGTAGCTGGGATTACAGGCATGTGCTACCGCTCCCAGCGAATTTTTTTTTTTTTTTTTTTTTTTTTGTAGAGATGGGGTTTCATCATGTTGGCCAGGCTGGTCTTGAACTCCTGATCTCAGGGGATCTGTCCGCTTTGGCCTCCCGAAGTGCTGGGATTACATGCATGCACCATTGTGCCCAGCTACATATAACATTTATTCCTTGAAACTGTACTAAATTGGCCAACATATGTACACATCAAACATTTCCTCACTTTCATATGCACTTGCAATTGCATTCCAACAGAATAACTTTTGATTCAAATAATAAAAGCTAGCATAAATATACACATTTATTTTACAACTACCTTATTTTATAAATGAAAGAGCTTTTAAATTGTTTTGTTTTTACTTCATTTCCAGAAAATTCACCTTCTCTGTTTCCTTTTACATCCAGGCAGGAATTTAGCCCTTCCCCTCAGTTCTCATAGCATTTTGTAGACAATTCCTTTTATTATTATTTTCCACATTGTCTTACAGTTGTGGGTGCTGGTATATGCATGTAGGTGGTTATATGCCTCTCTCACTTGTCTGTGAACTCCCCAGCTCACACACTGAATGTCTAAATACATATATGTTGAATGGATAAATACTAAAGTAAATATTTGTGATCTTTGCAGATTACAAACACGTATATTAAAATATATGTGTTAATTTTCATTTTTTCAGAACTTGCCACTGATTTATAGGCTAGAAATTGTAACTTTCCCAGCCTTTCCAATATTCCAGCTCTAAGTAATTGATATGAAATAATGCAATATAACATAATGGCAATATTATTTTCTAAAGGGTTTCTCTAGATTTAATGTTTTAGTCTTTATTGACTTCTTTAATCATTTCTTTTAATTAAGCGAATCTTTCTTAAATTATAAATGCTAAGTAGTTGCAAATCGAAGGTGACTTTTTAGGAGATTTTTTTCACTAAGGGTTAAGGCTCATTTAACTTACTCCAGGATTAAAAACAATTTTTTTTTCCTTAAATAAAGTTATCTTTGAACTATAATTAATTTTATTATCACAGGAGCCTTTAAAAAAAGTGCCACAAATATTTACAACAGGTTTCAATATAAGAATTTTTTTTCTTAAATGAAAAAAGGAAGAGTTGGGGGAAAAAATGTAGTAGTTTGCATGGGAGCATAATTATTTTACATTAAAGCAATCTAAAACAGAATAATGGTTTATATCAGGATGTATGAATTTCCTATGGTGGTTTCTTATTTATTTTATTTTAAAAGTTATTCTTATGAGTTATTTTCCATCTCTAGCATACATTAGTGTGACAATATACCATCAGTATCACACAGCACTCATTTCTCACCCGTAGGTGGCAGCCATGCTGTTTGTTTCGGTGAGGCTGACCCCACCTCTGGGGGAGGGCCATGGCTGAGCTAAGCCAATCAGAACACGGCCTTCCTGGTTGGGGGGCGGGGGGACTCCAAAGCTCCAGTCAAGGGTAAACTATAACCAGGAAGGTGAGTTTTGGAGATGTTTTGAGACATGAGCTCCTTTCCTCCCCAGTGAGGACGCAAATGAAGACACCTGCAGCCTTCCAGACTGCTTGCAGCTATTCCACCCCCAGGAATGGAGCTGGCCACTTATTTAAAGGTGCACATACCAAGCCTTATGTGTTTGATAAATAAATATATAAATCATTTTGTATTTGAATGTTCCCATTAAGATAGCGTTCATATAGAAATCGGATAATCTTTTAAAACCTGACCTTCCTAAATGCTTTAGTAAAGAGACATTATATGTAAATCTTTTTCCTAGTTGTACATTATTTACCAGAACTTTATTCTTCTAATTTTATTCTCCATATGTCAAGGTGTTAAATGCCATATGAACTTCTTGGTACTTTGCTAGGGGTCAAACTTACTTACAAACAGTTACTATGTATAATGGTAGAAAACTATGCCAATTTAAAACTATTTCTTCATAGTAGAAAAACAGTCTAAACTTCCCTTCTATTTTTTCAGACTTTTTTTTAGAGTCACAAATATGACCACAGAAAATGCATAACTCAGTAAAACTATTTAATTCTATATTGCTTGTTAAGGATCTGAAAATGTTTGTGGGATGCTCAGCCTCACACCCTAGTTCTTGTTTCATGATATTCTAACATAAGGAACACAGATCCTAAGGATTGCCCATCGGTGTTTCATTTTACAGGCAGCGGCACAACGTTTAAATATACATTTGTTTTCCTAGAGTACTCAAGTAATATTTTGGAACTTAATTCATATTTGCTGATCCAAGTTGTTTTCAGTAAGTTCAAAAACAAGTTCACCTTAATAAGTTTTCAGATAGATAAAAACAATATGA
The DNA here is from genome assembly GCF_000001405.40 of Homo sapiens. Classification (NCBI taxonomy): domain Eukaryota; kingdom Metazoa; phylum Chordata; class Mammalia; order Primates; family Hominidae; genus Homo; species Homo sapiens. The sequence goes on along the minus strand of NC_000001.11, from coordinate 237,799,071 downwards.
CCAATGAGATAGGCCAGCTAAACTATCTTTTTAATGCTAGCTAACAGATTAAGAAAATAATACTGCTTCACAGAACCAGAAATATGTTTTCAAAGTAACCATCACATCCCTACTCATGTTAAGAGAAAGTATTATGTTTCTTCCAAAATCATTAAGTGACTACAATAAGCAATTACGTTTTTAAAAGCATGTTTTACTTTTATTCCAGAGATTCAGTTGATCAAATTTGCTAAATGGATGTATGTATATATCTGTACACTCACACTATATGTGTGTGTGTGTGTGTGTGTGTGTGACATTTAAATTCAGGTGCATTCAACTCAACTGGTTTAGAAACATATTATTCCATGAAAGCAGTATATAAAGAGTGTTTCATTTTGAAGTAAACTTTACAAGTAATGGTATGATGGTATATTATTTCTGACGCACTAAGCCTTTGCTGTTCAAAACAATACAATACTTATAGTAAAGTAATATGAGTTCCTCTGAACATTTTAAATACAAGGGCTACATAGTTCCCTTTTCCAAAACATAAGAAAATTAACGTTTTTTCAAACAGGAATTACCAGAAAACAGCCATATATTGAGTTTTTGCATGTGTTTTACTTAGATTTAAGGATCATTTAAAGACAGAAAAGGCAAATTAAGTAAAAAACATAGTCTTTCTGTTCTCTTATAAATATTAAAAGGTACCTCCAAAAATTAATAGAAAAAAAATCCAATAATTCCAGAGTTCCAAATACCAAGAAGTGTAAAAGTAGACTTTATATACTTTCTGTTTTCCTCATCTATCTATTCTTCTGACATTGAAGGAAAGGAAATCAATGCACAAGTTTAAAAATGTATTAATGTTTTCCCCTTTCAATCTAAGTCTGTAGGATAGAGCCGAAGTAACACTTACACAGCTGATAAGGAGCTGTCTTTCTTTGGCTTCTTCTTTTCTCTGGCATCACTGAAGTCCAGAGCTGCCTTGTCCATGCCAAGTAATTCACTGATTCTGTCTCGGCCGTAGAACTCTCCATATTTATCCATAACCTTGGGGTATGAGAAAAAGCATTTTGTTGGCTTCAACCATTAAGTAACATCATCTATATGTGTGTATAAAACATCTAATTATTTTTATACTTACTGTATATTTGCCCTAACAATCACTTAAAATCTAGTGTGTGGCTCACCTTCTGTGATCACACTGCTTAAGGTCTAAACAAATTCACAGCATCTTACATAATACCTATCTGAGGAACAAGATTTCTCTCTCATTCAAGAGAGGGAGTCATACCAAAGAAGATGATGAGCTGAAATAAAAGCATAAGAAATGGAGGGAAATGGAATGAGAACGACCTTTACTAAATTAATACTTTGTGCCAGAAATTATGCTTCATTCCATGTGACTGTCACAATATGTAGGTTTCACGTTATTGATATTCTGCAGATAAAGAAACTGTACCTTAGAAAACTTCATGTAATGTGCCTAAGTTTGCTAAACTCAGCAAGAGATGGGTCCAGGAAGCAACCAGGCCATGCCTGACTCCCCAGCCAATGATCTTCTGCATAGACCTCTGCATGCCAATAGGGGGCACATCACAGGGGTGGCATCCTTCCATGGTCTCAATTTCAACCCTTCAACTCTCTGGCCACAATGCCCATCTTTCTAACCCACTCCCCTGAGTATCCTGACCCCAGCAATTCTTCAGTAAAACACCAGGACCTGCAACCTTGTCACCATCCTCATTTTAATTAGCATCTAGTATAGATTCCATGTCTATCAATCATTAGAATAATTCTTAACAATCCCCTTCAGCTTCCTTGCTTATTTCTCTTCTGTCCCATCTGCCTGGCTTTGCCCATTTGTCATGTTTTTAGAGCAGGGCTTGGATGTGCTCACAGCTCCCCTGTGAGCTCAGTTATGTCCAACTCTGGGATACAGCTCTTCTTGGCCTCTGGTTCATATACCTCCTGAGTGAGTCTTACACAGTAATGAAAATGGAGGCCAGGAGTGGTGGCTCACTCCTGTAATCCCAGCACTTTGGGAGGCCGAGGTGGGTGGATCATTTGAGGTCAGGAGTTCGAGACAGCTTGGCCAACATGGTGAGACCTTGTCTTTACTAAATATACAAAAATTAGCCAGGCATGGTGGTAGACACCTGTAATCCCAGCTACTTGGGAGACTGAGGTAGGAGAATCACTTGAACCCAGGAGGTGGAGATTGCAGTGAGCTGAAATCATGCCATTGCACTCCAGCCTGGGCAACAGAGTGAGACTCTGTCTCAAAAACAAAAAAAGAAAATGGAGGGAACAGGAAAAGCAATTAAAGACAAGCAGGAGGAGAGATCACTGGTAGCAAAAAAGGAGTCCACTATACAGGAGAAAAGATTAGAAAAGGAGACAGAATGTGAAAATACAAGATTGAAGTGAATGAAGAAGGAAATATACTGAACAAGATTGAAGTGAATGAAGAAGGAAATATACTGATGAAAAGAAGGGATTAACAGATATAAAAATTGGCTTTTTCTGAATGTATGCAATCAAGTAAATTAAAAGAAACCAAAAGAAAGAGCCTATGAACATGAACTACTTAGGTTAATTAAAACCATTTGTTTTGCATTATTCTCACAGTGCTAAAAATGGGCTGGGCTGATTTGAGCCGGGGGATTCTCTCGGGACTGTGTCCTCACATTCCCTGCAGGACAAATTAGGTACCATAGCGGGAAATCCAGGAACAGGATTAGCTGCCATTATGGTTTACCTATTTATTTGACTACAGATATAGAGTTTTCTTCATTAAAGCAAGAAACTCTTGCTTTAATAATTTAGAAGCTTCTTCCTTATTCCATTAAATAATAGGAATAAAATGTTCAAATTATCTATTTAAAACCATTTTAAAATTATTCTTTCACAGCTTTTGCCTAATTTGGGTGTCCTCAGATGCACTAGCGCAGTGCGACTCAAGATGCCAGGTCACGAGGGAACAAAACACTTGTACCTCCTCCACATAAAAATCGAACACATTGCTTCTAACAAAGTAAAAAAATATATATGTACATTTACAAATATACATATATGTACATGTACACATTTATATATGTATATACATATATACATATACATACATATGTACACATATGCACACATACATATGTACACACATACGCGTGCATATGTGTGTGTATCCATATATGTGTGTATATATATATGTGTATATATATATATATATACATATACATATATATATATACACACACACACATACATACCTGTATATACATACAGGCGTGAGCCACCGCGCCCGGCCATTATGTGCTATTCTTGAAATTCATATTTGGCCGGATGTGGTGGCTCATGCCTTTAATCCCAGCACTTTGGTAGGTCAAGGCGGGCAGATCACCTGAGGTCAGGAGTCAGAGACCAGCCAGGCCAACATGGCGAAACCCCATCTCGACTAAAAATACAAAAATTAGCCGGGTGTGGTGGCAGGCGCCTGGAATCCCAGCCACTCGGGAGACTGAGGCAGGAGAATTGCTTGAACTGGGCAGCTGAGGTTGCAGTGAGCTGAGATCGCGCTACTGCACTCCAGCCTGGGTGACGGAGTGAGACTCCATCTCAAAAATTAAAAAAAAAAAATGGAGACATTAATAGGCAGATAAATTATACCTCAATATCTTATTCTACATCTGAATCACATCAAATAAAAATCTAAACTGTGCTTTAAGAAAAATGTAGAGGATTCCAAGTAATATTACCTTTCTTTTAACAAATTTGTCCCAGTAGTTGTTGGGAAATGACCTAAAATATACAAAAGCATAGAAGTAAATAGTATTATTTTTAATGACAAATAATAACATATCATTTGGGATATATGGCATACTTAAAATAATATGTAAACATATATCCTGCCACGTAAACTTACAATGAATTTGGCTAACATCACATAATTTCCTGCATCATAGGTATTTGAATATTATTTTAAATATTAACATGTAAATATATACAAAAGATTATAAGCTGATACTTTAATGGAGAAGAATATGAGCATATTTATTAGGTAGCATTGTTATATTTATTTGTTTATAACATATCAGTACATAGACCTGTTTATCAATTGCCTTTAAAAATTAAAGTATCTAGAAACCTGTCATTGTTTTTCCCATGAAGAAAAAAATCTCTTTCCCACCACTTATCCTCACAGAAACTTCGAGCATAGCAGCAAAGCACAACTCTAGCGTCTTCACTAATACATAGAGAGTTTGCCTAAAGGGACTGACTTGCTTAGAAATTAGTATTAATGGTAGAATTGCTAAACAAAACATTTAGCATTTAGGATAAACATGTATCATGTATAAATAATCTCCATTTGACAACTCGGAACCCATTAGCAAATGACTTTTTAATTAGCAAAACTAATCACAATTTTAAAAAGATTTCACTCGAATAGTAAATATAAACTATTACAACTATTGCACTAATTCTTTTTACAGTGAAAAATTATACTTTTGTGATGGACTTATACTCAGAACAGCAGCTAGTAGTTTGGGTCTTGATCTCACAGGGCTAAATGTTTATTGGATAGAAAAAGCATTTGTTTTTCTGTCTTACATTTTACACCGTGTCCTAATATTTAGTTAGTTTCATGCTAGGGTGCTTGATGGTACTGAAAGTTGATAACTCAGATATATTCAAGGTGTAAAATTCAATGCATTTTCCTTTAATGCTACAACTTTTTCGTTAATGAATAATTTTTGCCTCTGCTTTTGGATGAGATAACCCTGCCTGCAGGTCATGCACTTCCTGCTACACACATCCCTGAACGCTGAGTAATGGATGTGAAGTTCCATCAGTGCTGTGGAAATGAACTCTAAGCCATTTTTAATTAAGGAATTCAGAACTCAGAGGGCAAAAATTGAGGACATCCACCATTAAGAGTTGGACAGCACTGAGTCTTTAGATTTTTCTTGGCTGAATATATAACTATTATTCACCTCTGCTAAACTTTTGACAAATCTGCAGGAACTCCAACCAAATATTTTCATGTCTGAAATTTTTGAGTGCAGAAAGTCTCATATAATTATTTACTCACTGTGTGTTGATTACGAGTCTATCCCACTGGCCTTTAATATCATCTTCTGAAGGCTGTTCTGTAATATAAAGCCCATCAAATTCCAATTTCCGTGCCACTTCCTTTTCTCGCTTAAAAATAACCAATGGGACCTACATAGGAAAAATAAATACGTTAAAATTAGTTTAGATTTACTGGCATATCTTGTGGTCACTATCTTTACAAAACAGCTTTTGGAAAGAAATATTTCCTGTGTACTTCTAGGAAGGTAAAAATGGAATGAAAATGAATCAGCTATATTCAAGCAGGAAGAAGCATCTAGAAGGTTTTGGAAAAACAGAAGATAGAATAGATATTACATATATGCATATGTTTTTAAACACATAGGGTCTTATAGATAATTACACTAGTGAAATCATTTTTAAACTTCAAAGATGAAAAGATGATTATGCAAAATCATTTTGTTTACATATATCTCTCAACATGAATGAATGAAATAAAATTTAGCAATTGCAGCAATGTTCCCAAATGCATGCTACTAAAGTGCAGTTTTATTTGAGAAACCTCTTTAATAATTTCATGCTCAGCATCACCACATACTATTTTGAGATAAATTTTAATTTCGACATCAGCAAAAATCTGTCAGTTTGTCAAAATATTTCCAGAACATAATGATTTTCTAGAACATAATGATTCTCTTTTTACACGGACAGACTTTACACAAGGCACAGATAGCAGATAGACACTGATATTCTGGAAATAGCCAAGAATATGCACTCCCATAAAACAGAATAAACGGGAGGAAAGGAGTTCCTGAATAACTCTTTACATTCTAGTCTTTTACTCTGAGCCCTGGTTTTTCACACGTCTTCTGCAAGATTTATAACCAGAGGCAGAGGACAGTGAAAGTGAAATAAAGGCATTACAGTAAAAAAGCACCTTGCTAGGAAAAGATAAAGAGGTTTGGACAGGTAATGGGCAGCCCTGAGCACTCAGAGAGATTATCTTGGGTTCTATTCACCAAATTATATTGTTCCCTTGGCAGGCCTCTGGGGATAAAGCTGCATTATTTTCTGGGTGAAGTGTGACAAATCATGAGGCATTTCTGCCAAGAATAGCAGTAGATACTTCCCTCATAATAAAACAATAAAATGACTCCCAGGATTGACACAATATATTTCTATAAGTCTTAATACACCAAGTATCACTGCATTACCATGAGACATAGTGGGTGGGTGAGCTCACTTCTGTAGGGCCAAGTTATAGGCGAAATTCTCTATGTGAATAATTATCAGTATATGAAAGAAAGCTACTTTAAGACAGCTCATGGCCATAGCCCCTTCCCAGGGCAGACTAGTCAATGTAGACATAAAAAGGCCAGGCTCCAATGCCCCAGGCCAGGACAGCCCTGAAGGGGCATCCCAGCTTTGGAGACGGCACCTGCTGTGTCTGTCTACAGTAGCCCAGCTTTCCCCTCTGTCCCATCCTTCCTCCATTTGCCCCATGCATGTTGATTCATGGAGCATTCCCTCAGAAACTTTGTGCACAAAGTTTCCAGCTCAGAATCTGCTTCCCCAGAAGTCCAGCCTGCAAAACACACACACACACACACACACACACGCACACACACACACACGCACACACACACACACACACACACACACACACAGGTACCTTGGTGCCTTACTATCTTACTTTCAAGCAGTAGTATCCAATGATGCAGAAGAAAGAAATGACCGTGTGCAGAATAGCTAAGATACGCAACGTGGGCTCCATGTAGCCGCTGCTCTCCTCTAGTACATAGTGAACTGCGATGATTCTATGGGAGCTGCTGTCCAGGCTTGTCACTTTGGCATTTTCACTTGAACTTCTCGTGGGGAGCTCCTTTCCTTCAACCACAGAAGAAGTGGAGACCTGATTCAAAGCATTTAAAGTAGAGTCAGTTTGCTGCATCTAAGATACCATTGCAAGCAAAAGACAAAAGAAATACAGCCTTTTCAGCAAATAGTTGGATGTGAAGTCACTGCATAATGAAAGGACTAATAGCAAAGGCTAAAAACGATAGCTTTTCAAAAACCAAAGGCAAGTAATGAACATACTTTTAAAATTCATTCTTATTCAACCAAAAATTCTGAGGATTCCAATGCATGCTAAAAAATTAGATGGCTAAGCTCTCTTCTCAATTACAAAAGAATGTAATATAATACGGTATGCCACACCCAGGCATAGTCACAAATAAGATATTCAGCTAAATTAGGCTGGGAATACTGTGGGGAAGCCCTCTGCTAAATCAAATGCCCTTCAGTTGAGGCATTTCTCACTTCTCAGGAACAAATCTATCTTGCCTTCCTAGATAACAGTGATATCAGTGCCTAGGCACCAGTATTTCATAATAGGTTTAGACATGTTCACTAGCAGTAGTAGATACGTTCATCGTGAAATCTTTACATTCATTTCTATTTGGAGTTTTATACCAGTAATTAAAACAGTGAGATGTACGTACCTTATAAAAGAGCAAGATGAAATTGATAGCAAATGCGACAAATAAGGCTAACATTCTCATGTTGTAAAAGTTGCGAGCAAAATAGTTCTGAGGGTGAAAAACATTATGAAAAGGTCACTGAATCAACAGGCTTGAAACCTGCAGTCAATTTAAATAAAGCATTCATTCATTTACCCCAAACAATTGATCGCAAGCCTACTGTTTCAAGCACCATTCTTGGTGCTGCAGACCTAAAAGTGAGGGAGAACATTTCTGCCACCATGGAGGAGACAAAGAATAAAAAAGCATACCCGCAAGTGAAAAACATAATTTCAGAGAATGTTAAATGCTAAGAAGAAAACTACATCGGGTTAGGAGCTTAGGGAATAGGGGTGCTATTTTAGATGGTGTTGGTCTGGGAAGGTTTATCTCAGGAGGTAAGCTTTGAACAGAGAGGCCTGAATGCACAAGCGGGGAGCAAGTCATACAAATATTTGGGGAAAGAAAGAGTGTGTCAAAGAGAGGAGCAACAAGGGCAGAGGCCCTGAGTTAGGAGTGATGTTGGTGTGTTTGAGAAATAGAAGGAAACACAGTGAGAAGAAGGGAGACTGATGTGTGGGGGTGGCAGGGGGATGTGATCAGACAGGTGAGCAGGGGGCAGGGTTTTGTAGGCTTCTGATAAAAGGTTGTCTTGTCTTTGACAGTGTGGTGGTTCAGTTTACAACCTCCGAGGCCTCATTGCCTGGATATGAAGCCTGCCTCCCTCCATTTCCTAGTGTGGGATATGGACAAATGACTTAATCTTTTCTGTAGCATCACTCTGCTCATCTGCATGCGAAGTGGGAATAACAAAAGACCTTAACTCTTAAGTGTGCTTTGAAGATGAAATGAGTTAATATAGGGAAAGTTCGTTATTAATATAATTATTATGTTGATTATCTATAATAAATGTAATATTCCAGTATAATTATTATTTTATTCTAGGTGGGATGGGAAGCTATTAGAGGATTTCAGGAGGACTTGGTGCAGTTGGATTATGATTTGGAAGGCCCACTCCAGCTACTATGTGAAAACTGATAGCAGTGGAACAACAGTGAAAGCAAGAGGACCCGTTAGAAAGTTAGTACAAGACGTCAGGCAGAGGTGAGGTTCATGGTGGTGGATTGGACTTAATGGTACCTGTGGAGATGGCAAGAACTGGGCAGACTCGATGTATTTGGAACAACTGAGAATAATTATCGTTGGGTTGTATTTAAGGTGGGAAAGAGAGGGTTCAAAGATGATACCTTCTGAATTTGGGAGCCTCAGCAACTAAGGGAACAGCTGGTACAATTTATTGGGCTGGGAAAAAATAAAGCCTAGAGAAGTGGGTTTAAAGTAATAGGTTATGGTGGACATTAAGCATTTGTTTTAATATTAAGTGGGAGATGTCAATATAATTTAAGTGGATATGTCAGGGGATTTACCATAATAAAGCTACATCAAAATGTAACACCTCAGAATGATATTCCCCTCTGTGTACACAGCCCATCTCTGTTCGTGTCATTTCCCCACACAGGACCCCATCTTTACTGCCAGAGCTTATTAGAACAAGGCTGTCCACCACACCCAGACTGCGTCAGTTTCACTGGTTGTCCTTGGAAGGTGGATCTGGGTCACAGAGGCTGAGTTAGCTAGGCTGAGCTCTCACTTAGGGGAAAAGGGGCCTTTGTTAGACGGATGTGGCCATGACTGGTCATGTGCATGCAAATCGGTGAGCCGAGAAAGATAGCAAAGAGATGCAGGAAAAGGGAGGAGCTGTGCAGAGACAACAGAACATGTGAACCCTGACACAGTGAAAGCTGGAAGCAAAATCTCAACTACTTGGTTTACACAACTGTAGTTAAACACATTCTTCAGGAACCCACTGGGGTGCTGCAGCGCCCATTCAACCTTTAAACCACCTATAATAGAACTATACCTGCAGCCATGACCTATAATAGAACTATACCTGCAGCCATGACCTATAATAGAACTATACCTGCAGCCATGGAAGCCATTATGGCATACCAAATTAGGAATTATTCAGAGTTAGTTATCTAGGAAACATTTCTGTTCAGTGAACTCTGTATTAAACAATATAGGGAAAATACAAGATGGTTTAGGAAATGTAGTTACAACTAAATTAAAATATATTTGCATAAAATATATAATACATAACCATGTTTAAAGATAAGCATTTAGAATATATAATTACTGAGGACAGTCCACTTTCCTTATAGGTGAAATTCTATAGTTCATTGAGGTTCTGAGTTGTCAATTTTTGATTTCTCAAGGGCTAAAAAACACTAAATATGACTCTGCTGTTCAAATGGCTTTCTTATGAGGGTTGTTGTTCTTAAATTCTAGGTCTAACATCACTGGTCAGTACCTCTTGTAGGTGGATTCTACATGCTTATCCCCTATCCTTTTCCTCCCTTATAAAAATTATAAAAATTTATAAAAATTATGCATATATACACACATATAATTATACATATATACACATATAATTATAAAAATTATACATATATACACATATGTTTAATTTTTATAAAGGAGGAAAAGGATAGGAGATAAGCATGGAGGAAAAGGATAGGAGACACATATATGTGTATACATGTGACATTACACATGCATGTTAATAAAGGCCTTTCAAACAATATTTTTAAGAATTTCAAGATAAATATGAATAGACATAGAGAGAGCTATACCTTTTGTTTTCCAAATATGAATGTGTGCTTTACTAATTAGGGGAACACCTCTGTAAAATGTACAGGACAGTATATAAAGAACTGTAATCCCTCTCTTAAAGAACAATTTTGAATAGACCTTCTTATTATCAATGGAAAGTGGCTCAATTAGCTAATATTTTTATACCTGGATTTTTAAGTAAAAGGGTGATGTTATAGAAATACTGACTATGGCTCAATTAGCTAATATTTTTATACCTGGATTTTTAAGTAAAACGGTGATGTTATAGAAATACTGACTAATCTAGTTCTGGAACATTTTTGAATTACTTGTGTCCTAGAAGGCACATCTTGCTTTAAAATCTGTTGCAGGTCCTTAGACTATGTTTATTCACTTGTCCTAATGTCTTTGTGGGCAGACACTGGGAGCACTGTCCTGGCAGGAACCAAATGAAAGGGTTTCAGGGAGTGTGAACATGAGTAGAGGTTATGGGTTTGACAGTAGGGAGCGGTGGGCCAGAGACATTCACTATAAAAGATAAACACACTACAATGAGCAAATCAAACATGTGCTGGACTAACCTGGTTCCCTAACTGCCACTCAGGGAGAGGTCAGCAAACATTTACTGAGCCTAAATTATTACGGTATTGCACTATATCAGTAACAATATTCATTCTAAAACATCTTACTAGAAGTTTCTGTTGATATGCTATGATTTTCTTCCAGAATGCTGACTCTGGCACTTCTGGTTCTCCGTATCTGTGTGTGTGAAGCTGCCTCAACTTTTGTTTGCCCTTGTCTTCCTTGGCTTTCTCTTCTTTTTCTCCATCTTCTCCCCTATGAAAACAAACAAACAAAACATAAGCTCTCCAGAAACTAAAGAACTAAACGGGTGTTGTGGAAAATTACCCAAGTGAACAAATATTTTAGGCCATCATATTACTTTTGAAAACTAATTTCTTTTCCGGTGAATGATAATATTCTGAATTTTAGAATCAGGGGTAGGATTTTCTGTTGATCACAGTCCCCTGGAGATGGGTAATTCTGTGAAGTTGAAATATAGAGGACATTTTATAGGCTTGAAGAATCTTTATGCATAGCAGATTCCTTCCAATTCTGCAATGAAACATTAAAAAAATGAAGAATGATGAATGATTTTGCTATGACTGTCCCACATACCCTATTTTTAAATTATAATTTCAATCCTTTTTTTTTTTTTTTTTTTTTGTTTTTGAGACAGAGTCTCGCTCTGTCACCCAGGCTGGAATGCAGGGGCGCCATCTCAGCTCACTGCAACCTCCAGCTCCCGGGTTCAAGTGATTCTCCTGCCTCAGTCTTCCAAGTAGCTGGGATTATAGGCATGTGACACCATGCCCAGCTAACTTTTTTTTACATTTTTAGTAGAGATGGGGTTTCGCCATGTTGGCCAGGCTGGTCTTGAACTCCTGACCTTATGATCCGCCCGCCTCGGCCTCCCAAAGTGCTGGGATTACAGGTGTGAGCCACCACGCCCAGCCTATAATTTTAATGCACAATTTTTAACATTTTCCATTAAGATTTAAAATCAGAGGCCTACACACTTAATTGTTCACATGTATAAAGTGTATCATTATACTCTGACATATATTAATTGTAATTAATTTTATTAAATAAAATAAAGTGAATTATAGTAATGATATATTAATTCCAACAATAATGGAATTAGAAGAATTGACATTTGATATCCTTTAGGTGCAAAATATCAGTCCTTCATTAAATTAAAGTGAAGTCATATGTATTAATACATAAACCAGAAATATTAATATATATAAGCTATACTTAATCTTAACTCATATGAGGTATATATTAGTTAAAGAATTGCCATTGAAATGCCTGTCTTGCTGTTATTTGTGTCTACTTTTTATGGGGCCATTTTTACAACTGACCCAATAGTGTGAGATCTATGACAATGAATAGTGCTGACTACAAAAACATAACGATGAAAACAGACCAAAGAAAATAACAGAATAGAGGAGAAAATTTCAATGCTATGGGAGAATAGTGGCACTACAGGCACCTAAAAGCTTCCTTTCTTTCTTCCCCCAACTTTTCAAATGTGCGTATAAAATTCTATAAACGTGGAGAAAGATGTAGGCTTCGATTATTCAGAGAAACCTGGTGTTATGAGGGAGTTATGCATTTTCATCGCCTCACATCCAGCTCTTTTTTATTGCTGCGTTGATCCCAGGAGTGTTGGTGAAAATGAAGGCTCCCAGGCCCCACACCAGACCTGCTGAGGCAGGATCTATGGCTTGGGGCCCAGGAATGTTTGTTTTAACCAACTCTCCCGGGGACTTTTATGCATGTGGTCCTGGGTCTATGGTTTAAGGAGCACCACTCCACAGGATTCTATGAAAGCGCATTTGGAATGTTTGTTTCCTCCCTTCTTGGAAAGGACAGAAAGACATGAGTGATTTTTAAAGACAGAATTGTGGCCCTGAGTCCTCTTACAAACAGCATTCCATGCAATCACTGGAGTCTTTCCTGCTGAGAGGGAATCACACAAATGGAGGTCCCCATGGAATGAGAGGAAAAGACTAGACTGGCAGCCCCGGGGGCGTCTACAGTGATCCCTGCCCATGGCCTGAGGTCCTCGCTGTCAGAGCCTCTCCACGGAGATGGCACAATTAGTTCTGTGGCTCCTTGACAATATGAGATTCTCCCTTGCAGCTCCCAAAGACAGAGTACAAGAAAAAGAGATGTAATGACAAACTGAAACGAAGGAAAAGTATATGCAAACTATACATACTCGGCTTTTTCAGGTTCAGATTTGGTTTCTTCTTTTTCTTCCTTTTCTTCTTCTTTTGCCTTCTGTTCCTTGAATGAGTCAATGGGGAAAAGAAAACCAGGATTACCCATCACCTTTGAATGAATTGAGGGAGCCATGTGACCATGTGTCAAACCATAACCTATATAAGATACCCTCTTGCTTATACCACGATAAAAGCGCCACGTGTTTTTCATTTTATAGGGCCAAACATCTCCCGCTTCTTCTGCACACTGACCTACTGCACCAGCAGCAGGGACAAACTTTCTGGACTCCTTTTCACTCTCTTTTCTCATTTAGAAATATCCTTCTTTATCTTAAGCACCTACTAAAATCTTACTCATCCTTCAATGCCAGTTTAAGTCCTACCTCTTCATTCTTATCTAACTACTTTAAACCATAGCGGCATTGCCATTTTCTCAACATAAGCAACCCCTACTGCCCTGCCTATACTATTTCACAGTTAACCCTTTTCTAGTTTCTTCATGTGTGTTAGTTTTATCTCTGGAATAAACTTTTTAAGGTAATTTGAAGGCAGTGACCCCATCTTACCTTTGAATTCCCTATGATACCCAGTGGTGTCTGTCAGACACTTGGAAAATATGCCATATTCATGGATGGAATGATGGCTCTATGGACTAATGACTACAAAGAACATACAATGAAAACATGCCAAAGAAAATCACAGAACAGAGGAGAAAATTTCAATGCTCTGTGAGAATAATGCCACTTACAGGTATCTAAAAGTTTTCTTTCTTTTCCCAACTTTTCAAATGTGCATATAAAATTATATAAACGTGGAGAAAGATGTAGGCTACAGTTAGGGTGGGTACTGAAGCTTACACCATAATAGTTTAAGATAATTTAATAATTCATAAGGACTCTTAAAAACACTAACTTTGTCTACCAAAAAGCATTTCTCTTTGGAAATTCAAGTCACATAGGTAACACCGTTCTGGCACTAGCATGAAACCTGGTCTAATGATCATTTATTATACCCACCTGAAGTCCAGAGAGAATGCTGCTGTGACTTAGAGATAAATTACCTGAAATTTTTCCTGCACCTCAGGCATGGGGACTGGGTTGCTCATGAGGTCACTGAGCCCAGCATTTGGATTATGAGGAATCAGTTTGTACTGTCCTCCTTCTCTCTTCAGATCCAGGCCAAAGATGTCCGAAAGAAGGTCACTTTCCTCTGTCAGCTCCTTTAAGTCGGTCAGATCCTCGGAGGGCAGGGCGGCTTCCAGGGGTTTCCTCTCTCCCTCCTCCCCATCTCCTCTAACCTCATCCTGAGTGGGGTCTGGCATGTTGGCTAACAGTTCTGCAACTTTGATCTTTTTAGCACCTTCGACGAGGCTTCCCCCAAGCAGCAGGCTGCAAATGATGCGGAAAAAGCCTCTGAAAACGCTGGCCACGAAGTGCAAGAGGGTCATGAAAATACTCCAGTAGGATGAAAAGAAGGCCGTGACCATGTCCTTCACGGTCATCTTTTTTACTTTTTTCATCTGCTTCTTCAGGCTCTTCAGACTGAGCATTCGCATAAGGGTCAAGATATTGTACCTGAGCGCAAACAGGGCCGACCTGACCGTCAGAATGGAGAAGAAAGCCATCCTCGGCCCCTGCTCTTCCGGCCTCTCCTTCTCGCTTTCTTCCTTATTCGCTGACCTCTCGTTCAAGTCCGACTCCGAGATCTGAGCCGCCAGCTGCATTTCAAAGATGGTGTCCTCGCAGAAGTTCACAAAGAGTTCCATCTTCTCTTTCTCTCCGCCTTCGTTGACCACGTCAAATATGAACTGTCTTTTGGACTCCTTGACCTGGGGCTTCTCCCACTGGGTTCGGCTGGACTCACTGATTTCAAAATAGACCCTCTCGATGCGTTTGGCGCTTCCCATGATTTCGATGCGGCCCAGAAAGGGCTGGAAATAATTCAGGACGCTCTCTGCTAATTCCAGAAAAGTCTGAAGTCGGGTATCGTTGGGCATGTGCTCAGAGAGGTTTGTCAGAAGGACGGCGACGTTGAAGCCGATGTCCTTCGCAGGTTCGTGGAAGCGTTTGACGAACTCTTCGTAGTCGAGGGTTTCATTCTCATCCGTCTCCGCACAAGACAAAAGAAATTCCGTTTCTGACTGCGTGTAGTGCTTATGGCTCTCCATCGCTTTGTGGAAGTCCCTCTTGGAAATGACTCCCTTGCCATCGGGGTCATATTCTTTAAAAGTATCAGACGACGTCAAATCCTTTAGTTTTAAGAACATGTCAAAAAATTTGAGAATCATCTCCACGTTGTTGGAAGATTCCACAAGCATATCCACCATCTGTTTGCCAATCGTTCCATTAACAACATTACCTGGTGGTAAAGCAGTTGCATTTGTTTAAAATAAACTAACAAAATCAGTGATCATACAGAAGATAACAATGTAGATCTTTAATAACATCTGAATCAAGGATATGTCCCTGTTTATCTCTCACTCTATAAAAAGATAATTATTTATAAACTATAGTTTAAAAAATGATTACACAAACATGCATAACCCTATTTACAGAGCAATTAGACTGACACACATAAAATATTTCAACAAAAGTTGACATTTTTCCCCTCAATCAAAGAAGCAACATGTTTTAGATAAAGAAAATGAGCCAAAGAGCCAGAAACTAAAATCGTTTCATATTAATAATAAAAATAAACATTTGCTCAGCCCTTTAGAGTTGAAAAATCACTATCATAGACAATATCTGATTTAATGTTCATATGTAAGGCAGGTACTTTTTGTTAACCCTAATTTTACCGATGAGGAAATTGAAGTTCAACAAGACTAAATTAATGGGCCCATTGTGACTTAATTATTAAAGGTTAGTGCCAGGTCTTCAGACCAGATCCTGAGAGCAAACTGTACGCTTTTTCTGATTCATAATGAAAAGCACCTTTCTACATTTCTTCATGAGTCAGTGTGTATAGTTGTTAGAAAATGGCAGATTCCTGAACTACAGGATCACAGAATGCTTTTATTCATTGAACAGAACGTGCTATATATCATAAAGACAGGCAGGAGAAGAAAGGTCGCTGGTCAGAGGTCCACAGAGTCAATCGGAGAAGCAGTAAGCACCGTGGTGTTAAGAGTGTGGGATCTGGAGCCACATTGTTGGGTTTGAATCCAGGCTTAATGTGCTCAGCAACCTGGGCAGATTTCTTAGCCTCTCTGTACCTCAGTTTCCTCATTTGCAAACTTGAGATAATATTACCATTGAACTGATAAACTTGTTACTAGGATTAAATAAGTACTTAATTCAGTATCTGGCACGTTATGAGGCTGGTTTTAAGTCACTGCTGTGGTTGCTGCTACTGCAGTTATTATTGTTGCTGTTTGTTAGTATTTAACCCAAAATTCGAATCGGGGCCATGCATGGAAAAATGGATCCTGTGTTTAAAGGGTATAAAGTGGCTACTGTTGCCACCGACTAAGGGCTTTAAGCAGATGCTGCCACTTCAAAGTCCTAGCACGAGGCGTGACAGCTGCCTCAGTTAACTGAAGTGGAGTTACGCCATGTATGGCAGACACGGAGAGAAAATAGGAAGAAGTTAAGAAAAAGTGATAGGCACCGTAATACCAAACATTTCTTAGTTGTTTTGGTTGTATTTATAGGATTCCACTGAATTCTCATATCAATATCTATCATTTCTATTTTGCAGAGGAGGAAACTGAAAAAATGGAGATGTAGCTTGTCCAAGGGTCATACCTCCCAGAGGTAAGGAAGCCAGGATTTAAACTCTGGCGGTGGATTTGGAGCCCAAGCTCTTAACTGCTACATTTCCTGCCTGCTACAGGAAAAAAAAAAAAAAAAAAAGCAATAACAAAATAAGCTGGGAAGAAAAAAAAAGAGAAAATTAAAACTGAGGCTGTGGTGGGGAGAACAAGACTACCACTGCCAGCTGCCCTGGGGGACAGAGGCTTTCCCAGCAGTGCCACGGCTTTAAGAACCCAAAGGAGTGACTCTGTGGTCTTTTCAAAGCAGCAGCTTACACAGCTGACTGTTACCCAAATGTCCGAAACCCCCACTGATTATGGACAAACACACTAACAAATAAAATATTCTTTATAGACTGGAGAGCTTACTTTTTACGATATCACTATGAAATGAAAAGTACTGTTATAAAGTACTACTATTTTCATTTTGTAGATATGTAAACTGAGATATGCAGGATCTCCCTTTAAAAAAAAACTAATGTGAGAAAAAGAATAATAAGCCAGCAAGAAATCCAAGGCATCTATCATATCTGAGTGCTATTTTATTCTATGCTACACTCTGATTCCATAAGCCCATGCTGATCCTTTAAATAAGATAATAAAGAGAATTTAAAAGTATAAATCAAAACTACCTTCTAACATGGACAGCAACATGACCACCATATCCTTCTGCAGATCCATTAATTCTTTTAATAGCTCAATTTGACTGGAATCCTGAAAATATGAACATTGCATTTGAGATAATACAAGAAAACTATGCAGCAGGAACATCATACTTATTCTCACAAAAAGGATGCTGCTCTGGCAATAAATAGTAACCACTTGAAGCATTATGGAACTAAAGGAGGGCCAAATATTAAAAATAGTTATACTTTACAATTAAAAAGTATTACTGATTTCAACTCATGTTCTTTAAAGTATTTGTAGGCCGGGCGCAGTGGCTCATGCCTGTAATCCTAGCACTTCTTTGGGAGGCCGAGGCGCACAGATCACCTGAGCTCAGGAGTTTGAGACCAGGCTGGGCAACATGGCAAAAACCCGTCTCTACTAAAAATACAAAAATTTATCTGGGCAGGGTAGTACACACCTGTAGTCTCAGCTACTCAGGAGGCTGAGGCACAAGAATTGCTTGAGCCTGGGAGGCGGAGGTTGCAGTGAGCAGAGATCACGCCACTGCACTCCAGCCCGGGTGACAGAGCAAGACTGGGTCTCAGAAAAAAAAAAAGTATTTGTACCGACAATGAACATATATAGCAATAATATGAAAGAACCACAACAGTGGAATATTCTCCAATGCCAAGCAAGACTCAAGACCTTCTGCACATTTGACATCTATCTTATCTTTTATTTGAAAAGCCTGCATTTTTTTCTTCTAACTTTCTAACTTCTTCTAGGTGCTATTATGTAAAAATCAACTTCATATAGAAGAAATATAGGCATATAAGCACCATAGAAGATAAACTTATAAATGTATTTGTTAGATAAATTAACCAAAAACCTACACAGGTATTACCTATTAGTACAACATTGTACTAATAAATATTACACAATGTATCTTATTTACCAATTTGATTAAGCTTTCCAGTATTACTCTGGTTAAAATTTTGTTTTTGCTTTTGATTTTTTACCATAAAGAAACATTCTTTTTCAAAGACATATTGTGTCTAAACATCACTACGCTTAGCTATAGTCCCTGGAAATACGGATCATACTTACATCTGCACAACTTTACATCTCATCCATTTTTTAAACTATTCTTTAAAAAATTTGTACAAGGCATTTTTGGTACATATGAAGCTATACAGTGTTGGGAAGATGAGACGTTTTCTTTCTAAATAGCTGTTATGGAAACTTTATAAACCATGAACAAGTGCTAGGTAGCACCAGATGTTAATACCCTGATGGAAAAACATCAGGATGAGAACTCTCTTGTGAGGGTCTACATTTGGTTCATATGTTGGTTTCCTTTACTTACCAAAATATCCCTAGTGATTAAATGAAAGACTGGAATTTCCCTATTGGGCTGAAGTCACCAATAACTCCATACTGACATTCTCTCCTTGACCAAACTCTAGTCAGGTACCTCTGAGCCCTCTTCTCAACTTGGCCTCAACTTTGGTCTATAAAGACTTGAACAAACACTAATAAATATAGTTTCTAACTGTTCAAGACTGCATGTCAAGGATGATCCCAGCCCTCCACTAAAGTACCTGCCTGGGAAAACTCCAGGCTGATAAAAAAATCAACAGTTCCAGACAACATCTAAGGATAAGGACTCTGGAGGACAGAATCCTAACTAACTAACTTTGACAATTGCCAGTTAGCAGACATAGCTGGTCTAATCACATTTACACCAATGAACCTTTTGTAACTTTTCACTCCTCTGACTCTACTGAGCTCCTGCTCGCCCCTTCTCTAATCTTCATTCTCCCATTAATATTCCCAGTCACCTCTGTACAAATCAAATCAGGTTCAGTTCATGCTGAACTCTTTTTCCTTGTTGCAATAGCACTACTGATTAAAATCTGTCCTTATTCGCTTAACTAGTATCCAGCTTTGTTTATCTTTGACATTAAGATGTATCCTTACCACTTTTACTAGCATCCAGCCCTGCTGATCTTTGACAATATATCCTGCATATTGTCATTTGCAGGCCTGAGGGATAGGTTCTTCACTTTACTGCAGAGAAACAAGGCCTCAGGGAAGAGAGACCTGGCCCACACGGGTGGAACAAGTCATGGCAGCTCAGGAATTAGAATGACAGCATTCTGTCTTTTAATCTGACATTCTTCTACCTGACCGCCTGGCAAATACTCACACTCTGAAGGTCTCAGATTATACCATCAAAATTCACTGCATTGAAGAGACACATTCACAAGAACTTTTCTGTTTGTGTATCTTTTTGTTTCAAATGAAACAAATACAGCAGTGAGCAAACAAGCTGATATTTTTCAATAGCCCTCAAGTTAACATTAAACATGGTAGAAAATCTGTTTATTCTTCATTTGCTTATCCATATAATAGCTACTTTTTCTCTGTCACAAAATTAAATACACTGGTTAGGGGTAAGCATCGCCCTACTGAGAACATCTGCTTGTTTAAGACCCTGTAACAAAATTGTCTCCCTTGTAACAGATTATAAAACCTATTTCAATTATCTGTAAGGGGAAGGAAAATTCCAGTGAGCAATGGCCAGGAAGATGAAGCTTGTGAAATGTACAATGTTTGGGGACTCGACTGTTTCATTTGTCCATTACATTCAATTTCTTAATATCCATTGTCTCAAATTTGAATAATGACTCCTGTCTATTCTCAGGTTACATAACGGTTTTTATTTTTAAAAAATTTTAATGAGCAAAAGAGGCATGATAAAATGATCTTAAAAAGACAAGTGATAAAGTGATTTTAAAAAGATAATATTCTAACATCAAAAAGCATGTTTAATTTGCTGATGATTACAGTCTCCAGTTTGTCATTTAAGAGAGAGGAAGGCAGTTAGTTAGTTTACCTGCGACAGCTTCATCTGCATATGGGCAAACACATGAAGAAAGCCGACCACAGCATCCCACAGCCTGCTGTGTGCCAAACTCTGTTGATTCCCAGTGCAAGGACCCTGGAGCATAAACAGACAAACGGCAATTATTCCTCATAATTTATTTGCCAAAACAAACTGTACAATAACAGGGGAAAAGTTGACTTAGTGCTGATATATTTCACTGCTAGCACGTTATCTGAAAAGATAGGAACTCAAAGTGAAAGAAGGAGATACAGTGATGATAATGATCCTTAAGAGAGAAATACGTTCCTCTTTAAAACATTTAATATATTCCAAAAAAAGTTTCTCAAGGATTTTTATATTCTGTGAATCATTTTTTTTTTTTGGTCTGGCTTTGATCTCCTCTATTTAGAGGAAAAAAAATAAGGTCTGGGTGCTTTGGCTATTTAGTCAAATCAATCAATAGTCACTATTTTGTATTCAAAAGAATCTGAGAATATGCTTTAGATGAGAGGTGATTACCTCTTACTCCTAAATAGTAACCTGGATAAAGCATTCATATAGAGAAAAAAAATCCTCTTCAACGTTTTCTTAATTGAACAACTATTTTACAAATGGTACAACCAATGACGTGTTTTAAAAGAGTAATACTTGCTTATTAATTTCACGAATCCAGAATCCAAGGCAATTGGAAGTGGTTAAAATAACTAATTGGGAGTCATTAGGCTGAGATGGCTCCAGTGTCTTGCGTTCCTCCCTAAGAAAACCAAATCCCAACTCAATGTAAATTTAAGCTTAACCAATCAGAAACTGCCAGCTAACTTCTAACTAGAGAGTTCACCAGTCAGAAACTGCCAACTAACCTCTAACTAGGGACTTTGCACTTTTACCAATCAAATTTCTTGTCTTGCTTCCAGGAACGCCTTATAAAAGTGCCCCCACCTTTGGTGAAGTGCTGAACCATTAGTGTTCTGGTATTGCTCCATTCATAAATAGTTGAATGCTCAGATAAACTTGTTAAGATGTTATTGTGCCTAAGTTTATCTTTTAACAAACCTAACTTTGTTCTCTTAGCTGACACTTCTGAAGTATCAATACTAGGGTGGATCCGCTGTAGCACGCAGACTGTTTTCATGGAGCCAATTTCTGTTTTCACTTTCCAATGAAAAAATTCTACCATCATTCAGTTTTGTAAACCCATCTACATCAACCATGAAAATAAATAACAGGGATTTTACTTAGAAAGGAAAAAAGTACATAAAATACCGTTCTTAACTTCAAATTCCTTCATTCCTTTAGGCAAATAACTTATAATACCTTTAAATTGCAGGCCACATAAAAACATTTCAGATCTTATGCTAGAAACAAGTGATTGGAAGAGATGGCCAGATCCAAGATGTTGAAATAGAACTTTTTCCTGTCTCAGCATCTCTTGAGGCCCTACAGCTGAGATACTGACTATGTATTCTCAGATGACTATGAGAACGACTGACTGTCTACAAAAGCAGTAGACTCACTACCTGCAAAAGGGGTGACTAAAAATAGATATTTCCACTCTAAGGATACAAAGGGGTTGAAATTGAAAAGGGGGAAACTTTGGAGGGGGTTCTCCGTGTGCTGAGCCTCTCCATTTCGTTACTTCTGCATCCCCTTACACCAAGTGAGAGAAGAGGCTTCAGGAGAACCATCATGTGAGCTCAGTTTCTGTCTTCTGAAGTTGGGTAGCATAAGGTCTGGTATTAGAAAGTGTGACAGACAGCATATGACAAGAAAGATGTGTTTCTTATATGGACTACTCAGGAAGGGGCCATTCTGCCCCATCTGAAATCAGTCTGAAATGGTAACATAATTCCAAGGTGGATGGGGGCCACCAGATGCTTGAGGTCTGATTGAATAACTTTAAACTGGATGGGAAAAGAGTCATTTCCAGGCACTGGAGGACTAAGAGGGCCAGGCTCGCACGTTAGATAAAAAAATACAACACACCACACCAGAGGGCCAGCTCCGTGGTGCACTCTGGGATTACATGTGCCCCGGAAGAGACCTTTCCTTCCCCATACCTCCTCTCTCCCACAGCAACAACCCAGAGGAAGCCTGGGGTTAATCAGGAGGGGAAAGGGAAAGAGAGAGAGAGAGAGAGAGAAGAACCTTCAGGGGGGAGAGTAAAAAAAGCCTAGATTGGACTCCTTCCAGAATGAACAACATCCAGATGGGAGTTCTTGCCTGCACCCTCACTCTAGGTTTTCCAGCTGAAAATCAGGCCCAAGGGTAAGCGGAAGTTTTACTGAAATGAGATTATTCTTGTGACAAAGTGACTGACATGATTTTATTTATCTGAAAGTGGCCAGTGCACAAGATTCCTTCTAGTGGTAAAGAAATGGTCGACAAAGCAAGTCTGAAGGGACAGTGGTGAGAAGGAATCAGGTTATTTTAATCTGTAGGTCATTAAATCCAGCTCATTTAATGTACCAGATATAGTAGCTTTATAGTTTCCTTCATCCCTGGTTATAATTAGTCCCAACTGGCTATTACAGCTCTGGTTTGAAAGCAATAGATCTTTAGGATTTTCCTGTGGTCGATGTTCAGTGTCAGCTTGGTATTCCAATGGCATATAAATTAGGGAGGAGGAAAAGTGCAAGAGGTGAACACTAGATAGCCATTTTTAGGAAAATAAACTTGTTTTTTCTTCAAGTCAGAAATAATTTTCTTCCCGTGATAGTTAAGGTTTAAATCAAAAGTTGAAGCATTACAAGGGGTTGTGCTCTCCTGCAACCCCTAGGTGACCAAAAGTTGTTTGGCCAACCCTCATGTGACAGAGTTGCAAGCCCAAAGCCAAAGTACCCATTTTTTCTTTTAAAACCTGAAACACACAGAATGTCCTTTGCAGGGCTTGCTCAACCTTAGGTCCTCAGCTTCTGGGAGCTGTAAACTCCCTAGTCTGGTGCCTTGCTTTCTTTTTCTCATGACGTATGTACCTGCAACATGGAAAACCCTTGCTAACTACCAGAAGGACCTGTGCCAAGGACAGATCAAACTTTCTCTTTTCTCAACAACTACCTCATGGTCTTACTGTAGGAACCTTGACAATACAACGTCCTCTTACTCAAACAATTCTTCCCCTTTTATTAAATTGGGATTACAATCTTATAGGTAATTCCATTTATTTCAATGGTGTTGGATCTCCCCCTTATATAACTTTCTATAGTTAGTAGAAGTTTGAATAATAAAGCAATACGCAATGCTGTAATCTAAAAGGCAGTCCAGAAGCAGCACGAAGCTAATGATAAGCTTATCTTCATAGTATCAATATTTATCAGCAGATATACCACTAAGGCAAGCTTCTCTAAAATATATTTCACTAGATGTAATGTGGTAACTTGGATTGTATCCCAGAATTTTAAAAAACAAATAACGTGAATGGAAAAACTAGTAAAATCAAAATAAAGCCTGTAATTTAGTTAACAGGATGTGCCGATGTTAATTTCTTAGTTTTGACAAATGTGCCATGAGTATATAAAATGTCAGCATTGGGGAAAGCTGGGTGAATCATATACAGAAACCCTCTGTGCTATCTTTACAACTTTTCTGAATACTAAAATTATTCCAAAATACATATTTCAGATACGATTGTTATTTTAAAATGTCATATAAAAAATAAGTAATAAGAGAAGTTACTTGTTACTTCTGTTTTTTTTTTTTTTTTTTTTGGTTCTTATTGAACCAAGCACAATAAGCCATGTGACTTTATCCAATATCCTTTAAACATTCACATAGAAATCTGTGTTCTATGACAACACCCTAGAGTTTTGCATATAGTAAGAGCTCAATGGATGCTTCTAGATTTCGATACATTCAGGAATCTCAATTATTTTAGGAACCAAGAAATGCCTACTCTTAGCTGAAATGGCGGTTATGTTTCATTTGGAATATATTATAGAAATCATCCTGATTCCCATTTCTGGAAAATCCAGTGGCTTGCTAATGTCATCAGTCAATCCTGTTATTTATTCAGGACATGACACATGAATGTTGTTGTACTGGTATCATTCTAGGCATGCATGAGAATACTAAGGCAATAATGGAAGCCAGGAGAGGTAAGGAAATGGGACTGTGAGTAGACCAAAACTGACTTAAGCTTTCACTTTTATTTGATTTTAAAGGAAATGTTATTAGAATTATCAAGTGTGACGTTTCCATCTGGAAATGCTGAAATAAGGTTCCTCTTCCCCACCAAGGCAAAAAATAGAAAAAGTGCCATGCTTCCAAGGGACTGAATGCAGAGGCGAGTGAGCCTGGAGGAGGTCTTCCTACCTCTACAGCACTTACTCTTGGTTGGCTGTACTTGGCCATGAGTCATTTATTTACTCAAACAGCTGTAACTGTTACGCTCCTGGGATACAATTTATTTTTAACTTAACCTTTCTTCTCCCCACAAGCTTATGTTTAGTCTCACAAAGCCAATTATAAGTTTCTCCCTCCTGTTTTATCCTTAGCATGGGGCACGTCAAACATAGTGAATGATTCAGGGTAACATGTCCACTGAGACAAGACAGAAAGGAAAGATGACTGGTCATCAAGCAAAGTTTTGGTGATTGCAGAAAAACCCAGAATTTTATAAAATCTTTAAAAAATCTGAAGTTAAGGCTAGAAGCTTAGTCCAAGGAGAATATAAAACAAATCGATGTAAAAAAGAAAAGAATATTCTATACGCTATTTGGAATTTTATCTATAATATACATATGCGATGTTTTCAAACACTCTTCTCTTTCTTAAGTTTCTATGAAACTTCTTCCCACTTTTAGTGGAATACCAGAAAGAATGGTTAAATGTTGTGCCTGCTCGCCCTTCCTTCCTTAATATTTACTAAGTGCTTAATACATATACCAGGCCCTGGAGGTACAATAGAGCTAACATCACAGCCCATGCCTCTAAGGAGTTAATCATATCTCAACCTGCCAAATGGTGAAGCAATTTCATTCCATATAAATTCACATCTCAACCTAATATTTTAATTGTAGCAATTTGCAAAGAAACTCAGAAAGGGGTCAATAGGAGATATGGAAACTACTCTAGATATACTGCATTTTTCTATGGAGTTCAGTGCTACAGATAGCAGCCATGTTTAAATGTTTACCTGAATATACTCTGTAAGAGTGTTAAAGACTTGTTTTGCCACTTGGATAGCTTTGGAGAAATTCCGTTGTCCTTGTTCATCAATAACATCTTTCCCAGAGTAATACCAATAAAAGTCACTAATTGATTCCTGGGAAATAGAGATGATATTATTTATTATCAAGTCACATTCTAAAGTTACCATTGACTAACCAGTCTTGGACTTTATGCCTGAGAAGTATTTTAAATAATAGATATGGTAGCAAACAAAAATATCTGTGAAGTAAATATCATTCTTCAATGAATTTCCTAAACATACAATATGTGAACCTCCTTCTTAGATATAGCTAACAACTGAAGAGAAGACAAGAAGAAGAAAACTTAGCTTTAAAAATTACTGTCTGATAACCTTGAACTTCACAAACATAAGAATTCATTAAGACTGGAGCATATTTATGCATGAGCAAAATTAGATGTTTACTATGTGAGCACAGAAAATAGATGAATCATGGAACAATCTTTTTTGGGGTACCGACATCTGGCCTCCATTTTCTCCAACAAAACTAATAACATTGCATCAGTGAGAACTCGCTGATATCCATGGCTTTTGTGTCTGTCCCTGAGGAAACTGGTTGGATTGCTTGTAAATTTGTAAATACTAACAATTGTAAACAAATATCTAAATAAGATCAATCTCTATAAACCAGATGTATTTAACAATAACATACATTTTAAAGATATTTTGGTTGGATAAGTAAATAATCCAATTTAGTTGAGCTGTGAACTACATTTGGGTTTTCAGACAATTTTTAAAATGACAAATGTGTTTTCAGCAACACTTCTTGGTGTACTGACTTCAAAATGCACCTTCCCCCACCACATTAAGCTTTCAGTTAGAAAAAAAAAAAGTTGTGATTTTACACACTCAAAGATTAAGGAAAAAGCTGAAAGTCTGCATTTATAGTTTTAAAAATACTGTGCCTGGTTTAGCTTATAAATAAAATGAGGGGAAAAAAGTTGTACAGGGCTCTCATTATTTAAGAGGCCTACGTCTTCAATTCAGTTTGATTAACGTTCTCAAATATGATTACAATATCAGAGATTTTTAAGCAATGTGGTGTGAAAATTAATGCAAATATTAGGACAGCTGAAAAGAACTGACCTTAGACTATCAAATTTAAGTGTATGGTAGTAGTTGCAAAGCCTTTCTTTCCTATTCCTACAAATGTTCCAAATATTCTTCCCCAATTTGTCTAACAACTGTAGAAGAAGGAGCAGAGTATAAAAGTGCTTTACAAAATGAAAATGACTTTAAAATACCATCAAGCTAAAAAAACAGGCGAAAAATCTCTACTTACAGAAATAAAATAATGAGCAAAAGTAGGAGGCACGTTCAGAAGCAGAGATAACAGTGGCTGTTTTGCTCTAAGAATTGCTGAGAGATTGTGATCAGAGATAAACTATCTCAAAAACTCCTTTCTAGTTATAAACCAAAACACATTAAAACTCTGCCGTATTGTTTCAACATACCAACCCTTTTAATTTGTTACTAATATGGAAAGCAACATACCTGAACTCTCAGTAGGTAGTCTACAGTGGAGATAATTATGTTGACAGTTGTATTATTGCCAGTCTGAGTTCTCAGATAATTCTGAAAATCTATGCAAGATAAAAAAATGTTATTAATGCTTGCTCAGAAGTTCAAGTTGAGTCATTCTAAGAACTCCAAAGGCAAATGCTTTCTATGGCAAAATCATTGTGGGTTAGTGCAGTGTTTTTATCTAATAGTTTTACTATGAAAATAATTTATATTTTCCATAAAAAGTGATCACCCCAAAAGTGTATCTGGGTGCTCCATTGATGATCAATATTCAATTTTTGTCTCAGATATTGCTAATATCAGTTTCTTCATTCCTAGTTCTAGAGCTCTGGGCAAACGAATGACTAAAAAAGGTTGCTATCCTTGAGGATATAAGAAGGAAATTATTTATTCATTAATCACTTGTTCCTCAGTACTGTGCAAAGTGCTGGGGTCAGCCAAGATAAAATTAAGATGGAGTTCCTGCCTTCAGGGGTGCACAAGCCTAGTAGAGAGTTAGATGTGTAAACAAGTAATGGAGATACATTATGTTAACTAGTACAATGAAGTATGTATACGCTCAAGGTAAAGAGAAGTGGTGCAAAAGAAATGATACTCTATATTACTCTATAACTATTTATATGTTTTTCATAAATCCTCTGTCTTTTTTTTTTTTATTGAGAGACAGGATCTTGCTGTGTTGCCTAAGCTCCAGTGCAGTGGGGCAATCACAGCTCACTGCAGCCTCGAACTCCTGGCCTCAAGCAATCCTCCTGCCCCAGCCTCCCAAGTAGATGGGACTATGAGCACGCACCACCATGTCTGGATAATTTTTTAAATTTTTTGTAGAGATGGGGGTCTCGCTATGTTTCCTAGGCTGATATTGGGACTCCTAGGTTCAAGCAATCCTCCCACCTCGGCCTCCCAAAGTGTTGGGATTACAGGTGAGCCACCGCACCCAGCCTCATGTGTCTTCCCTAACATCAAAACTATTGATAAGACTCAAGTGAAATGGATATCCGAGGACTGTGAAAGCAGGGAAGCAATATATAAAACGTCCCAGTTCCCAATGCAGAGTCATGCTCTAGAATGATTTGTTGTCTCTAGAACGATGCATAATTGGAACTAACAGGCTCTTGTTATTACTGGCTTGAAAACATTATTTATGCCTTAGTATCATCAGAAGTTCCGGGGACTCACAAACCTGAGTTGTGTCCCTCACAGAGTAGTTGCAGGAATCGGAAGAGGTCACAGGTGAACTCATCGTCCTGCAGAACCTTTTCTCCTGTGGGAAATCCAGAGGGATCAAACATTACCAGCCACCCCAGCCTGCCGCTCCCTTTCTGTCCCCACCTCCATACAACTTGCATGTTGATCTAGCATTGTTCTGAACCAAAAACAGTCACAAGTCATAGCCACTTTTCTATCTGAAGCTCATAAGATCATGCGCTTGGCAGATAGAGGCACTTTTTCTTTGTAAGAAAAGAACGTTTGAATTTTAAAACTCAGACTTCTCTGTTAAAAGTAGCAGCATGGGTTTGGCAACATTTTACAAATGACCTAAAGGCTTAAACTTTGCTTTTTTCTTTCTTTATGTTCTTGTATTTGGCAAGGTGTACATAGAAGGGACCTTTTTCTGCATCTCTCACACGTGTTAAATTTGCTTTGTACCCGGATTATGACCAAATGATTCAATGGAAAGCATTCTGTGTATCCAAAAAAGCGGGGCCAAGAGTTTCTTTTATTAAAGAATAATTCATGGATTTTTGTGAAAGCTGTAAATCACTAGAAAATTGTTGATTAACTTGTTTTAATTAACTTTGTTATCAGGTTGACTACTGAATAAAAAGAAAGATTTCTGAAATCTAAAATAGAGATGTGACTGGTTTGAGCATTACTTCCATAGGAGGAGGAAATGGCAAACAACCTTAATTCTAAATATGAAACCAAAAGACAGACTTTGGTGGCTCGTGTTGTGAGAGCTAAAACTAATAAAGAAAGGTGAAAAGAAAGGCGTCCCCTAGTTACAGAAGTTCCTCTGCATCATCCAACACTAACAAATATTTTTGGGGCAAGGAGAAAACCTCAGAAAAGGGCTCAGTTTACTTGTATTTCAATTTAAAGGTATCTTGATCACAAGTTACTTTGAAAGCAAAAACACAAGGAAAGAAACAAACACAGAACAGCACCACACAAATGAAGCTGATTTTCAAGACAGAAAGTGTCCGTGGGGGGAAAAAAAACACTTCCACATTACGAGCAGCTGCTCCAAAATCTAAATTTGTTTAGAAAGCAAAATGACAAAAAAGCCAGTGAATGAATGGACTTACATATTAAAAAAAAAAAAAAAAAGAACTTTTTACAGAATGGAAATAAATACTTTCGGCTGAGAAAGAAAATGAGGCAATGATCGTATGTTTACTTTAAGTGAAATTATGAATGATCACAGTGACAGAGAGCTGATGGACTTACCAGTCCGCAGTCTGTGACTTTCAAAGTGAGAGGCTTCATATAATGGTAGGGTTAGGAAGCAAAACCATTTTGAAAACTAATATAAACATTAAAAAAAGTACATAAAATCACTGTACTCATTTCCCTGTTAGCCCACAAGATATGAAATTTGGTGACTATGTGAAAATCACCACGTATGCAAATCAGACGTGGCAAGTTTAAGTGTTATAGGCACATTATTGTGTTGAATCTCCCATAATTGGCTGATAAGTCCATTCCTCAGTGTTTAAATTCACGACAGGATAGGAAACGAAAGGGAGAATGTTTTAGGCAAATAAAGGCACTAAACTCTTCATTGGTGATACTTAGTTCCATTTTCATGAGTCACCTTAATCAGAAGAGTCTTTAAAGTGATATTTAAATCAAAATATTATGAGTTCATTACATAGGCTTATTGATTCTTTCCCTGTGAGCCCATCTGCAATTTTTTTTTCAAAAAACAAATCAATTCAATAAACCATGTACACACTTTAAGTGTTCATATATTCGTGAAAGAAGTAACCCTTACTAGAAAGTATTCAGAAAAACACTGAAATAAATATAATCTACCTGTGTACCTAAAAATGCTCTGCACAATGCATAATGATTTATAACATAAGGTTTTATTTATTGTCGACACACACAGTATTTTCTTGACTGTATACCGAAACACGTACAAGTAATTTCACTTATATAAGGACACACCGTACATCGCAGAACAATGGGAAGAGGGGAGGGGTTAGGGAGGGGACGAGTCAGGCCTTCGTTTACCATCAGGTGATACCAGGTATAAGCTGGGGTACTGTTGCTTAATGAAGACATTCCTATCTGATTAAAATGCTGCCATTGCCCATGCTGCAAATAAGTGGTAGAGTAACAGAGATGGATGATGGCTTTATGTCTGCAGAAGGTACAGGATCAGCAGTCTATTTTGTGATGTGTGCAAAAGAAATTCCATTGTAAGATGGAAACTAAGATCAATAACAAATAACGGAATGGAGTAACATGTAGTTGAAAGTGCTCTTACACTGGTAAATTATGATTTGTAATTGCTGCTTGAGGGCTCAAGGTACATATTGTGAAGGACATCCCTTTGGTTTCATTGTTATAAGAGGCTTAAGATTTTTAATACTGTAATAAAGGGAGAGGTATTTCAATATTGTTGCTGCTTCTGAGTTCATTCTTTGCGCCTTCATTTTCTCTTGTATAAAATAAAGATAACACGTACCCTGTCTACGTCACTGGCTCTTCATAATCTGTGGTAATTTTTTGTAAATTGTGGAAAGGTTAATATATTAGGTGCAGTGGCAATAATACTAAAAAATATGGAAACATCATGCCAAGCTGCTGAATAAAGCGATTTGAATTTATTAATTGTGTTTATATCTCCTGAACACCATCTTCATGGATTAAAATGTTCTCAAAATTACATTTTTTTCTTGGAAATAATCTAGGTAGATTTTATTTAACCAAGCTACGAGTGAAACAGTAAGTCCTATTTTAAAGATCTAATAAAGTTAACAAATTTTTAAAGGCTACTATTCTACCTACAATTGGTGAATTAGGATAAATAGACTCCAAAAGACTAACATTCTCTTTATCAGGTCCTGTCATGTCAATATCTACAATAATGCACAGGTAAAAGGTGATTCATGAAGCATAGGACTGGCCACATTAAAGGATCCCCTATAATCTATACAGTTGACTCTAAAGCACCCCGCTGCCATAGAGGAAATTATGCTGATTGTGGATCTTGAGGGGACCTTAAGATCGATTCTGCATCTTGCCAAAACTGAAAAATGCTACAGATATTTTAAAATAGTGAAAAGTCAGGTATTTTATTCCATGTGGGAAGTTTTAATATTGCTGTTTAAGCGGCTTAAGTATGACTGCTTCAATTATATTACAATTCAATTAAAAAGTAAATTTAAAAAATAAGCTTACAGTTAATATTTAGTTAGTGACTACAGTGTGCTAGGCATTGTGCTAGATATGTTATCTCATCATTTCAATTCAGGTTTATTATAATCCTGTAACTTAGCTAAATGTAATGCCATTTTGTGGTTCAGTGAACAACTGAGAAATTAAATAACCAATGTCATATAGCTATCGACTGGTAAAGAGTATGATTCCAGTAAACTTCAAAAAACATTCACTCTTCTATGGCAGGCACCTTGTGAGGTGAACATAATCTCGAACCTGAAGAAGTTCACAGTCTAATGGAAGATACAGGAAATAAACAGATAATTTCAGTATTATATGGCCTTTCTGAATTCAGTGTGCTATAGTTTCTAAATGTTGTAAAGTTACCATCAGTAACTAATAAAATCTTTGACTGATTATCATTACATATACTATATGTTATTTAAATAATTGTGAACTCGTGCTTGTTTTCATCAATTTAAGAATCAAAGGAAAACCATTGCTAGATATATGACTTTAGTCAGTTCACTGTTCTGAGCCTTCGTTTCATCATGTTGATATAGAGATGAACAAACTCCTCAACTCCTCATTTCATAGGACTGTTGGGAGAATCGAATTGGATCAAACAATTAAAAGTGCTTTGAAGTCTACAAAGCACAAAAGAAATAAATGTGAAGCCTTAGGTCAAATGACCTAAATTTCTAAGTTACAGAATTTCTGTAGGTTGTATGACAGTTGTTTGTTCTATAAATTCCAGAGTGCATTTGTTAAAATTTAGTTAACAGTCTGACAGCGTTGTATACAATGCATTCCTATTTCCGATGCCAAGACAACGAAAATGACCACTATGTGAAATAAATCAGGTTTGTCCCACGGATAACAGAATTAAAGTACATTCTGTTAACTTCTTAAACAAATTAAACTAGCTGGAGCGGAAAAAAAATCCCTTTGCTTTCAAATGTGATTGCATCTTGTTTCTCTTATAGCCAAAGCCTAAGCTTCTCAGCTGTCAAGACTCTCACTGAAATTCTTATTGTTTTTCATCCATTCCATTCATCAGCATCCTTACTGATCTCCCTGCCTTGAGACTCTGATACCTATCTCACACAATGTTGCCTATGAGTAATTTTTCAAAAGCACCATTCCAATTATCCTACTTCCCTGGTAAACAGATGGATTTCTTTAACTGTGAAAAGTCTACTCTGAAGAATTCCCTCTAATCTATCATTAGGCATAACTCAGAGCTCTCCCACTGCCATGAAGGAAATAATAATGCTGGTCACTATCTTTGGAGGAGTCAATTTCTATTTAGTAGCATGACTGAGAAATGGGAAATCTACATTGTACTGTTAGTGGAGTCTAGCAGAAGCATTATTTGAACAATAAACGTTAGGAACTCAATTCTAGGTGGATCATTTAACAATACACATAGTATCACTTAAGTGGTATTTAATGGCTCTCTGTGGCCTCAGATAAAGTGTAGATTCCTTGGCAGGGCAGAGAAGGTCCTTCGTGGCCTCCCAGGTACTATGTTTCCATCCTCTAGTCTGATCATTTTCCTTCATAACAGCTTAGTCACCATTCTCTGCCGTGTTTGGTACCTTGAACTTTGCATATGCTGTTCCCTCGCATTGGAATGTCTTTGCCTTCCTTATCCACCCCCTTGATTCCTAATTCAGACTACACGTCTCCCCCAGCCCCGCAACATCCCAGCCGCTAAGTACTTCCACCTAAATTCCTTTATATGCATAAAGCATTGTTCTGAATTTATTTGTTTACAAGTCTGTCTACACAGTACTGAGCTCCTAAATTGCTTCCAATGCCTAGGACACCATCTAGCACATAATAGTCACTCTAATTTAAATGAGCGCTTCAAAGTTTAAAAACTGCAAGGATGTTAAGAAAATGTATTTGGTGCCACGAACCAACATCACAAGTTTTCCTTGAAGAGAAAATTTACCCACAAGAATGGCAGAATAAGGTACACAGAATACTAAACTACACTTGTGAAAGTATTTGGAAAATCTTGAGGAAAAGGTAGCCCATAAATAATTAAGCAATCAAGAGTATCAAAAAGTTAGGGTAACCAATACTTAAAGATCAATTCAATCTCTTTGCTTAATCAATTTGTGTTGCTTCAACTTCACATAAATTTGATTAGATGATTATAAATATATCAGTAAGAACCTCAGTGAAACAAATTATCAGATACAGATAGAAAGGTGGGGAAGGTTAATTGGTAGTTAATGTTGTAGTGAGGATTTTAAAAAATCAAACTATTTTTAAGAAATCGGATCAACTTCAAAACTTTGTCTTGCTTTTATGAAGTCCAGGACTACCTCATGATCAAAAAAAAAAAATTCAGTATCTTCTGCTATATTCCAAGAAGAATTTTGAAAGCAGAAAAATTGCACTTTCAATGTCATAATGATTTGGTAATGGGGTTAATGGTTCTGATAAAAAAGCAAATTAAAAATCCAAGAATGGAATGACATTTTAAATATTCATACAGGTTTTGTTTTTGAATTTGATTAAGTCATTAAAAGAAAACACATATAAATATAAAATATACAGCACAGACAGCATTGAGCATATTACAAACTAACACATTTCCTGAAGAACCTTTAAAAAAAAAAAACTGGGAGGCTCAGGCTTTCACAGAAATGAGAGAAACTTAGTATAAAAAGGAGACAGAGGTCAAACTTGCATGACAATAATGGCAGCAGAAAAAAAACAGTATAAATAATTCATCTGAAAGCTGTAGATACAAACCTCAAAGAAACACACAGTTCCTCATGGCATCTCAATACCAGGTTAGGAACATTTGTAACCATAAAAAGTTCAAAAGCAATTTTGAAACTTAACAATAAATGCAAAATTTGGCAAGAGATTTGTGTCCCGGAAAGGGACAAAGAACAATAAGTCAAGGGGCAGCCAGGCGTGGTGGCTCATGCCTGTAATCCCAGCAGTTTGGGAGGCCGAGGTGGGTGGGTCACCTGAGGTCAGGAGTTCAAGACCAGCCTGGCCAAGATGGTGAAACCCCATCTCTACTAAAAATACAAAAATTAGCCAATTGTGGTGGCAGGCCTGTAATCCCAGCTACTTGAGAGGCTGAGGCAGGAGAATCGCTTGAACCCGGGAAGTGGAGGTTGCAGTGAGATGAGACTGCACCACTGCACTCCAGCCTGGGCGACAGAGCGACACTCCATCTCAAAAAGAATTAAATAAACAAACAGTAAGTCAAGGGGCAAAAAAAAAAAAAAAAAAAAAAAAAAATGCTACCTAAGGCAATGGTAGACATGAAGTAAGCCCCTGAAGAATATGAACAGATGGGAGGGAAGTGACTTCACTCGTGGGATCTGTAAATTAAACAGTGGGAGGCAGAATGCCTGCATTTCAGTCTCAGCCTTGCCGCTTAGCTGTGTGACCTTGGACAAGTCAAGAAACCTTTCTGTTCCTCTGTTTCCTTATCTATAAAATCAAGGTAATAGCTACCTCATTGGAGGGTTGCGGGTATCAAAAGTTCATGCATTTGAGCTTATACGTTTTCCATGGCTATATAATTTATGGTCATATTGTCGTCATTAGGAAGAGACTTAGCTTAATAAAAACAGTGGGCAAGGATGTAGAAGATTCAGGTACAACAGATTATTTTCTCAGTGCTAAGCCCATGCTCTCTGAGCCTCAAGTGTTGAAGCAAGTGACATCACTAACAGATGTTGCTTTTTCAGCCTTTTCTATCCCTTCCAAGAGGGATGATTGATTTTTCTTCTCCTGTGAGTGTATGTAGGCTTTTTTAACTTTTACAGAATCTTAAACAAAAGAGTGATCTCAAAACAGATATATTTAAACATGCCAAAAGTGTCTGTATAGGAATTCTTAAAACAATCTGGAAGATACTGTAATATTAATAGAGCTAATGAGTGGCCCTTACATATGCTCCTAATAGGTCTCTTGATTAAGGCAATAGCATGTATTCAGAAAGCACAATTTAATCTTGGAAGCCTTGTTGGCGTCCTAAGTACTATCTAAAATCTCATCCCTTATTTCCACTGCATAGAATGTCTTTCAGAAACTACTTTGAATTACTAATGGCATCTTTGCTAGTATATTAGTTTGAGGAGCAAATAGTTGCTATTGTTTCTACTGCTCTTTGAATTCAGTCACAAAAATAAAAATTAGTTTTGATGTTAAATGATTTGTAATCTGTCAGATTTTCAAAGGAATAGAGGAAAAACTCAGTAGGCCTCCCAATACTTGGAAGGCAACTGGCAGAGCACACTGGCGAGGAGGAGACTCAGCTTGTCACGTCCTCCTTGAATCTGTCACCGATTTCCCGTGCACCAATCAGTACAGCCATAAAGCCACAGCATGTTCAAGACAGAAACGCCACAGGGAGACTAGGGCACACATTCTAGGATCATTCATTGACACAACAGTTGCAGACGCTGGGCCCACCAGAAAGGTTTTTAACTGAAAAGCAACAAAACCAATCCGAAAATGTAATTGAAATGCTTGTTGCCCCTTCATATCTGACATACTAATAACTGTACATCCTCATAGAAACAAGAAAGAAAAGGAGGAAAGCTAGATGTGTAAATGTAAAAAATAACAGGATGCATAATGATGGAAATTAAATAATCTACTTGTTAAAACAGTCTACAACAAAAAAGAATGCACGGAAATTGTCACTATCAAGTCTGTACACAAAGCTAACAACAAATAAAGGAGCAAATAAACAAAAGACAGTTCATTTTTAATAATTACCACGCTCATGAGTGATGACTGAGGAAGGGAGGGTAGTACATTTACAGTAGTCGAAAGAAAAGGAAATGGGGAAAAAGAAAAAAAGTTGAGATTTTGCTTTTGTTTTTCTGTTTGTAAGGAAATAATACAAAACGTGTTAATCGGTTTGAGTAATTATTTTCTTATGTGTTGAAAAAGAATGCACAAGTTAAATCAATCTCCTTTTGAGAGATATAAAGAATTCTCACATCAGAATGGTCACTCTCACAAAGTTCTTTCTGACTTGGGACTCGAAAATGTTATTCCAACCCATATCCGCCTGACGAAGGAAAGGAGGCTGAGGAAAATAACCTAAGTGGCTGCTATTCCTTTTGGGAGCTGATATGAACAGCGACTAAGAATGACTATGGATTTGCGGTAGGAGCCCCTGGAACATTAGGTAATAACTACAGGGGAAAATGAAATTGATTTCTAATTCCAAGACAGGGAAGTCAGGCTTTGGACAGAGACTTCATTCATTTTTAGAAATTTTATAGCTGAAAATTGCTTAGGACTTTGGAGAGATGCTGGAGGTAGGCAGGTGATAGGCCCTGAGATCTGCAGTGGCTCCAAGTTCTGCAGATGGGTCCAGAAAACCTAAGTCGGTTTAGAGTGGCACTGGTGACTTTTCTCAAAGGTCTGGCCTTCTGAACCTCAGGCCAGAACCTTAGGCCAGAAAACCTAAGAAGTTATAGAATGGTGTCAGTGATTGTTCTTGAAGGTAGCTAACTCAGTTTAGTAACCATATGACTTATTTTTGTTGACTGCACTTGTACATCCAAATGTCAAGCAGAAAATAAAATAAACACGGGAGCCACATAGTGGTAGCAATGTCAGAATGGGTATTAATAATAAACTTTAAAATACAATAAGAAATGTTGTTTTTCCTATTTGTGAGAAGAAAAAAATACATAGATAAATTAGTTAATCCTAAAATATTTCAGAGAAATAAACATAGACTACAAATGGCAGATGGGAGAAAAAATTATTTTTTGAAATAAGATTAGTCCAATAAAAGACCCAATGTTCCAAAACTAATAATTGACAAGAAGACATATCCAAACCACACAAAACAAACAAAAACAGATAAACATACGGGGCCCTGAGTAAAACTAGTTTAAAAATCAAACACAAAAGAATAAAAACAAATCAAACCAAAAACTACTGAAGATTTTTTTCTTAATAAATACTGCTAAAATGAAAGGGCAGCAAAGGTTATTTCTGCTTTAAATGCATTGTATGCTAAACTTTCTAGTTTATACCAGCATCTATTTAGAGAGAGAAAAATTCTAAGATCACGTGTATCTCTGCTTTTGTGCACAGAATTATTTAAGCGAAATAACTGGTCTCTAATTTCTTTCATCAATCTAGACTTGCAAACATGTATGGATTTGAGGATCACTGTGCTGGAAGGGAAGAGGAGGGAATAGGAATGAGAGTAGACTGAAGGAGCTCAAAGGATCACTATCCTAAGGAAATAAAAGAATCTGAGAGCCCGACTTTGCTAAAGTGGCCAAAGAAAGTCAAATGTTCTTGAAAGGTTCATCTATGTGGTTTATGATTTCCCAGAAAATTCTCTAATAAAGGATCTTGATCCTTCATTCAACCATTATTCCTCATTGAAAACCCAATAAGGGGAAAGGCAGCTGGCAATGGGGCTGGCACACAAGGAGTTAATGACCGGCGTGGAAGGTTGGTTTTAGGGTGTGACCGGTGTCCAACTATGAACTTTGAAATGAGTCATGTAAGCATTTCATCAACTTTAAAATAACTTCTTATCTCTCTACTTGAAAGGTAATTGATAATTGACTCGTTTCAGGGAGGGAAGGGAGACAGGTGATCCTTTTAATGTAAGTCATTAATACCTGATCCTTCCTCTGTCACCATCCCAAGACCTTCAGCTTTGTTTTGTCGCTCAAATGCATTTAGGTCAAGGACACTATAATAACAAGGGAAAAAAAAACATTTAGAGGACTAATAGAACATTTTCTTTGCTCAGGAGAGCAAACATCTAAACACCATATATCTTGGAAGATGAAGCAAATGTTAACGTACACTGAAAACATGTCTCCATTCATTGCGTACCAACCGTATTTTCTTAGTGGCAGACTAGTGTCTCCCCTGGGCCTACACTGAAATGATCCATGTGAAAGTCAAACATGAAAGCATTCTTAGGTTTCAACATGGGGAGTACATTACAAAGCCAGCAGATGTGCAGAAATAAAATTCTAATAATTATGTTTTTGCAGTTGGAATAGCTTCTTACATTAAATGTGTGTCAGATTCCTTAGTCAAATGCTGTCTGAATGATTTTAAATCTTGAAAAAAAATGGAAAACGATTACCGCAAATGAGTTAGTGATCATTTAGTCACAAAATGAGAAATGGCCTACAAGCTCCTAAATAAAACTAAATAGAATTTTCTTTTTTAAAAAAGCATACACAACTCATTTTCAAGTATGCAGAATATACGCTAATTCTCCAAGATCCCTATTTAAACACGGGGAAGGCTTTTTTTTTTTTTTTTTTTTTTAAATTAGCGACAGGGTCTCACTCTGTCTCTCAGGCTGCAGTAGTGGCACTATCATAGCTCACTACAGCCTTGAACTTCTGGGCTCAAGAAATCTTCCCACCTCAGCCTCCTGAGTAGCTAGGACTATGGTACAGGTGTGTTGCCACCATGCCTAGCTTTTTTTTTTTTTTTAATCTTTTTGTAGAGATGGAGTCTTGCCCTGTTACCCAGGCTGGTCTTGAATTGCTGGCCTCAAGGGATCCTCCTATCTCTTCCTCCCAAAGCTCTGGGATTATAGTACTATGGGAAAGCTATTTTAAGACATTATTACCATTCTGTAAGTTATTAATTATGATATTACCAACCCCTTAAAACAAGATAGAAAACAAGACACTGCCGATTATCCCACTTTAAAGTGTTGTTAATCATTAACTATTCTTCTATGTGCAATTATCGTCAGAGTAAGAAACAAATGCTTCGAAAAAATACAACCACTGAGTAGAACCCCCAAGAAGGAAGTGAGTCCTTACCTACATGACTGCATCAGGCCGGCCAGGCTCTGAAAGAAGCCCACATCCTTTTTCTCCTTGAGGTAGTCAAGCATTTTCTATGGGAATTATAGAAACCACGTGGCCACTGAACAAAAATCTTATTGTTTGTTAAATAAATAAACAACCAAAACAGGCTTTCCATTCTAGAATAGACAGAAAATATTCACTGCGTACAAACATGACTAATGCCATCTTTATCATGAAGTAGGAACACACCTCGAAGCAAGATAGTTACGCAAACTTGGAATAAGAGGGTTAGTTGCCTTACACATCACCACAAGCACCAAAAATGTCAGGGGTAATATATTACTCTTAATTCTCTCCTGGTCACTCTTAAAGTAATTTGGTGATTCAGATACTCTAGTGCAAGTTAACTGGGAAGAAAATTCCTATAGATGTTATTCACAGGTTTCCATACCAAGGTGATGTCATTAAACAGCATTACAGGCTGGGCGTGGTGGTTCACACCCGTAATCCCAGCACTTTGGGAGGCTGAGGTGGGCAAATCATGAGGTCAGGAGTTTGAGACCAGCCTGACCAACATAGTGAAACCCCGTCTCTACTAAAAAATACAAAAATCAGCTGGGCGTGGTAGCATGTGCCTGTAGTCCCAGCTACTCGGGAGGCTGAGGCAGGAGAATTGCTTGAACCCAGGAGGCGGAGGTTGCAGTGAGCAGAGATGGTGCCACTGCACTCCAGCCTGGGTGACATCTCAAAAAACAAAACAAAACAAAACAAAAAACCCCGAACAGCATTACAATCTGAGAGTTGTGACTGCCATATGCTAATGCTATAGACGGAAATTCAGTTTCCATTACCATAGTCTGTAAATTGAAAAAACAATAGGAATCATTTGGCTATTAAAATGTTCTCCTTTGTTCTCAGAATGACGTCCAGAATCTATGGTCAAAATTTTGGTTAAACATACATGTAAAAAAACGCTAAAGCAATGCTTTGTCTTGTTAGCTTACTGTTACATAGCATAACGAAACAGCTATTTCTGACATGGTTAAAATTTATTAGAGATTTCAAATGTAAAAGCACATACAAGATGATAGAAAGCATGCTCAAAGGTTTAAGGAAATAAGAATACTGCTTCTCTACAAATCTGGAAGAGCAGAACAATTCCTGTTATCAATGCTGTTCTAAAAAGGGCTCAGTTAAGCAGACTAAATTTTAGTAGTAATCTTTTTCAGATAGCGAAGGCAATACAAACTAAATATGTAAAGGATACATATGCACAAAGTATATGCACATATGCATATATATATATACGCACAAATGCACAAATAGCAAATATACACGTAGTGTAGGTATGATACACAGATACACAGACACACATATATACGCACATAGACACAAAACCATATAGCCATTTACGGGGGGTGTGATAACTTTTGGTCAAATAAAAAATGAAACAATCATTGTTTTTTTTCAAACAAAGGGATGTGGCTTGCAGGATCAAAGGAGATGGTGGGATATATATTTGAAGTTATAAAGAAAACAGACAAGTTCCACATAGACAAGAAGTATACATTACAGGATCTCTCACTCCTGTCTCTGGATCTAAGGACTTCTGAATATACATACTAAGTAATGAGGGTCTTCTTAAGTAAAACATAAGCAGGAGACATTATTTTTTGATAAATGTTTTGGAGAGATTAAGTGTTTTATTTTTTCTTTTTTCAAAGCTATATAATCACTTATTCTGGGAACAGAACGAGCTGGTTACCCCTGCCAGGTTCCATAACCAGAGAGCCACAGTTTGGTAAACGCATGGTGAGAGAGTGGTTCATACCTCAGCACCAGAATTCATTTGACATGATAAAAGGTCACACTTGATGTTTTCAGATATTTTGACATCATTTTATGTTTGGATTTGTAACACTATCACATAATTACTTTTTCCCTCTTTTGCTCTCTCTTCAGTACTGTGGTAAACTAAAATTGAGCCATATTGTACATAGAAAATAAAACATTTTACAACAAATAGTTCTTTACTATATGGTCCATTTGTCTGAAAAGTACATTATATGAATGACTGGAAGCTGTTACCTGCTGTACTGTGGAGTTCCCACCATTTAAAATAGCAATTCCAAGTTTCAGAGTAGCTGCTACCATTGGTCCAGTTTCACCTAAGAAATATAAAAAAGTAGTGTTCCTTATATCATTTCGCCTTCTATATTAACCTATTCTACCTCCAATGCTGCACTTTTAAAATTATTATTATGCCCCCCCAGGCAATCTGTTTAATGGCATAGGGAGACTGACTTATGTTCCAAAAAATGCTAACATAATAATAATGCATATTTGGCATCAACATTTTTAATAAATTCTCTATAATATCTAAGAACTGAAACCATAAGAAGATATAGAAGTAACAGAATAGGAAGACAACTGATTTTGAAATATCGAGACCTGAAATTATTAAGATTCAAGATTAATTATGTGTTTAATAAACATTAAAATAAGTATGAGCTACTTAAAAGTTTCTTTAAAGAAAATTTCTCTCCCTCTTCCCTCAACAGTATTATATATGAAGAACTTTCATCATTTTCATTGTATCACTTTTATTTTAATATGTTTGACATCTGGTTTATTAGGCAGACTATTCTCAATTTTAAGTAATTCGGATAATAACAAAATTTTATTTAGTGTAACATATTTCATTTTTCATTGTTCACTTCTATTTATCCTAGAAATATAAATAATCTTCTATTCAAGGACAAGGGTACCTAATAACAGAATGTACCACCATTACTTTTCCATTCCATTACAAATTATATTTAAAATGTTTTCACAAAGAAGCTATTATGAATGTACAAAAAATCATCTTGAAACAGCTGGCTACTGAGATATATGACAGCATCTTAATTGTTAAAAAAGTCTCACTTTAAAAGTCTCCATATTTGTATCAAGAGTCAGCAAACTATGGCAAAATACCATAAATTACATAAAAAAATTACAGCTTGCCACCTATGTGTGTAAACAAAGTGTGTGTAAATAAAGTTTTTTTGGAACACAGCCACGCTGTTTGTGTACTTATTGTGTCTGGCAGCTTTCCTGCTAACATGGCACAGTTGAAGAGCTGTGACAGGTTGCATAACCCTCGAAGCTGAACATATTGACTCTCCAGCCTTAAAGAAAAAGCTCGTGCACCCCCATTTTATAGGATCAGTCTGCTAAGGTTTAGTTATAACATAGTTTCCAAAACTTAAAGAACAGAATGAAAATGAATCTGTATAGTAAGACTCTGAAAAAAAAAATTAACATTGGTCTCCGTAAACAATGAGAGCTCGTATTTGTGAATAGGCACCTGATATAGTCATGAACCAGAAACCCCAGGACTAAATGAGTCAGTGGAATTGAAATGAGGGAGGACCTTGAGAGCAACGAGGAAATCTGAAGAACAGACACTCGTGAGGGGAACTCAAGGAACCTTACCTTTGCTGGCACTGATTGTCTGTAGCACCATCTCAGCCGCGCCACGATCGTGGAGTCGGGCTTGCTGGTATAGAAGCTTTTGCTTTTCCATTTCTTTTTCCTGAACACAAATCCCAACCATTTATGTTGAGGGTATCAGTAAGCACAACAGATTTCTACAGACCATATTTTTAGTCATCTCTTCATGTATGGGCTCTATGACAACATTATGGACCATTTCAACACCAACGATGTTCTTCAACAGATATTATTAACATATTCAACTATTGTTTTTTTTTCCCCCTTTATAGTTTTCTTGATATGTTTTTGGTACTGGTTTATCAGCATGGATTTTTTTTTCTCAATTTTAATGATTTGATTCATTCAAAGCCTGTATCACAGTTTTGAAGTACTGTACTTCATCAATGAAACTTGCACTTTCTGATTTATACATTTGTGCATAAGTTTGTCACGTTTTGAATAATCTCCCATGCCATGGCCATAACTTGATACTGCTCAGCAAATGGCTCGAGTTGCAAAGTATCACTGAATCACAGAAAAACATTAACTGAGATGTCTTGAAGTTTAAGTAAAATTGAAAGCTGATATGAATCAAAAGGTAGGCTTCAACGAAGTAGTGGATTTATGATACAGATCTCCCCAGTCACCCCCAAAGAATAAGAGATGCAATGTGCCTTTATATTTTGTATTCTCTGGTGGTAACAAACGATACTGCATGGTACTGCTGGAGCAATGGCTGGAGTTTATTCTTTTCCACTTAAGCTACCACTGAAAACATAAAGAAGAAAATAAAAATAAAATATAAAGGCACAGCAAGTTCAAGACTGGTATGACCATTCACTTGAGCAATCCAGTTCACTGGAGAATTGAGAAGGAACTAAGCAGTATAAGTTGCAGAATGAAAGTTGCATAGAGCCCTATGACAGTGAGTCCATCAAATGGCGTGGTAGAGAAGCTTAGTCAATGGGACATGAAACAGTCAATTAGTATCATGTCCATAAACACAACGGCCAAAACATATATGACCTAAGAGCAGGAAGAGCTGCAGCAGAGGTAGCCAGAATGACAGCTTTGCTGCCATAAACTTTCCATCCAAAA
Organism: Homo sapiens; assembly: GCF_000001405.40. Taxonomy (NCBI): domain Eukaryota; kingdom Metazoa; phylum Chordata; class Mammalia; order Primates; family Hominidae; genus Homo; species Homo sapiens. The sequence continues at coordinate 237,755,289 of NC_000001.11, read as the reverse complement.
TACAGAAAATAGACACTGGAAGATGGAAGAGGTTTAAAAAATGAAGGCTTGCTAGTTACAGAATATGAAAAATAAAGTGAACTAAAAGGAGGGGGAAAAGAAATGGGCTCAAACAAATGAAAAAAGAAACCTTTAAATCAAAAGCAACCAACACAGACATTTATGCTGTTACCAGAGAGTTCTCGCCGAGGCTGGCAAATTTGTTTCTTAAATCTTTGATAATATCGTGCTGCGAAAACAAAATTGATCAGGGTTTTTTTTGTCACACTATAGTTAGCGCTCCTGTGGTTAATTTTATGTTTTCTTAAATTATGTGATAGGCCTAAATGGAAGCAGAGAAAAGAAAAAAAAAGAGGCAGCTTTGCTTTATATGTAGCCATGCTAACATCTATAAGGTTTGCCTTCATGTTTAAACCTCTTCCTGTGAAGTCAAAAACAAAACAGAAACAGAACCACACAGACACACAAAACCATTTTGTCATTACAACACAGTTTCAGAAAAACTGAAAGAGGACCCTTTCGTCTGCTCTTCAGGTGTTGTTTAAAACTGATGAGCAACATCTGATTCTTCCTTTTAGACCCAACAATCTTTTATGTTCCTCCCATTGCCAGAGCTCCATGTGGAACTTTCGCTTAAAGCTTAACCAGCTCCTTTTGTGAGAGAGTTTTTCAGTAAGAAAATGATAAGAAATTATTCGCTCATGAAACTGTCCTATCATTTTCATCAACTAAAGAGGCAAGGGAGTCAGGAAGAAGTTCTTCTATTGACCTAATAGAACACATAAAGACAGTCATCAGGAAACTCACAGAAGATGGAAGATGGCAACATGCCACACACTCTTGAGAAAAAACAGAACAAAACAACAATTTGCCATTTGTGCTCCAAAAGGGGGAAGATCAGTTAAAGACCTGCCAGAACAACTTGCAGTGTAGCCTGTAAGGTCCCGGTAACCTAACTGAAATCAACACATGATGTATGAACCTTACAAGGACCAAGAAATAGACAGGATCTCAGACTACCTTGCTTAAAAATAAACTCCCTGGACAGGTCACTCATTTTTTTTAACATCGCATCTAAATTTTAATAATCAATGTTTTGAGGAAGATGATGAAAGTCATTTGAAAAAAAAAAAAACATTGAGCCAAAAAGACATACTGATCTAGACGCAGAAAAATACTGTATTTCATAGAGATCAAGTCAACCTCTCTGTTGAATTTATTCTTTGTTGAACTGAAATTGGAAGCTCTCCCTTCAGGATTCTTTAATATTATTTCTTTCCAGTACTTTGCCCTTTGAGAACAGCTTCTGGGCATGTAATTTAATCTGTCATAGGGAAAGTTTATTATAAATTAAAAAAAAAAAAAAAACTCTGAAAGCTAAACCAGAAAATTTTCAGATACTAAGATGAATTATGTAAAAACAATTTTTTAAACTGCAGATTAGCTTTTCTAAACAAATTGTAGATAGATCTTTTATAAGCATCTTACTCAGGAAAATAACACCTTGAAGGCACCTTTTCAAGAATAGAGTTCTCTGACACAGCAGCTTCTGCTTAAACTGCCTAAGGCTCTTAAATAAACACCACCTGCAGTTTAGTCTTTGTGTTATTTCAAGGTTATTTCAAGGTTACACAGTAAGGTGAGGAAAAAAAGAGCAGCTCCAGAATTTAAATTTTCCCTTAGGCAAAACATTCTGATTGCCAAGAGCAACCAAGAATTATCAGTGCATATCCTAATAAGCTTGTTAGGAGGTTTTTCCAAGGTCGAATATGGTCATATTTCAGACCCATGTTCAAATCACTGGTAATGAACAGAAGTATTTTACATCATGATTTGCTTTTGGTTATAACTGAAGTTTGTAATAACATTGCTAATATTATTTCATTTTGTCTAAGAGTGTGTCAAGCTTTTAACACTTGGGGAAACAAGTAGAAAGGCTTGAAGAGAAACAACTATATTTAGTTCTTCGACAACTTGTCTTATGTGAGAAAAAAATATTGAAATAAGGGGAATTACAATTGTCCCTTGCTCGTCATCGATGGAGAAAATATTAAGTTGGTGCAAAGGTAATTGTGGTTTTTGCCACTGACCTAATAGTTTATCTTTGTAATGGAGATGAAAAGATATTTTAAACCAGGGCAGCCTGGTTACAGGAAAGGAATTTACATTGTTTCTGAAGGACCTGCCTCAGCTACATTGACCTCTGGGGCAGAACCTGAGCGACTGACAGGCTGAATCTACCAAATCTATCATCTGTGCATCATACAAAATGAGCCCATCTACTTTGTGTTCTTTTGTTTGTTTGTTTGTATTTCCATGACTTCAACAAGTGTAGAAAAGGTTTTCATAATATTTTCCTCAGAAACTGTAGGTGGTAGCAAGTTATAAGAGAATAGAAATATCCAGGAACAAAACTCCTTAAATTTCCCATAATTTAGTAACGTCATAAGTCAACATGAAATATTTTTAATTGGCATCTGAGAGTTACGACCTACAAGGTGATGTTGAATATCAATATTATACGAAATAAAAAGACAGAAAAATAGAAGATTTAATTGGATAACAATGGGGACAATGAAGAAAGGGAGTGAAATTGTACTAATAATTTGGTTTGCAGCACAAACAGGTCAACTCAGACTAAGGGAAGTCAAAAGTATGGATAAGAGACAACTTATCTACTTCAATTATTTTTTTCTGTTGTATTTAAGTTCTTGAAAAATGTAGATTAGCTACATTTCTGTAGAGTTGACTCACAGTGATGGGAAAATACTAAGACTACAACTTTGTTTAAAACGAGTGGTTCCTAAATTTTCTTTTTTTTTTTTTTAATTAAATAAATGAGCCAGGCATGGTGGCTCATGCCTGTAACCTCAGCACTTTGGGAGGCTGAAGTGGGAGGACTGCTTGAGCCCAGGAGCTCTAGACCAGCCTGGGCAAATAGCAAGACCCTGTCTCTACAAAAAACTAAAAATAGCCAGGCTTCGTGGTGTGCACCTGTAGGCCCAGGTGGGAGAATCACCTGAGGCCAGGATTGCGCCAGTGCACTCCAGCCTGAGCAACAGAGCAAGACATTGCCTCTAAATAAATAAATAAACAAACAAACATGAAGTTTCCTAGAAGATCCATGAAGAGAGCGGGCTTTCTTTGTTTTAACCACACCAGTACACACATACTGTACATCCAGTACAGTTCTCTGAAAATAATAGGTATTCAAGAAAATTTGCATGAATAAATGACAGAACTAAATGATGTGATATCCTATAGTTTGTGATCACAATCTAAAATATTACAAATGTTATCTTTTTTGTTTGAAGTGCTACAAAATTAGTAGCTCTAAAAGTTTGTCTTTCAGTTCATGTTTAAAGAGGTCTTCAGAATTATACATATACAAATAATAATCAAATTGTGGGCTTTAGCTCATTTAATTTTTTGTTCAGATCTTTCATCATTATCCACTCTCTTTATTACTGATCTTTCAAACAGTGTAATGATCTTCCAGAATTCTGCTTCTTGATAGGATAAGCAAAGTTTCTAATGCTGTCTCTTTAACACTCTGTAAAAATGGTATCAAAGTTTGACTAATCTACAGAGACAAAAGAAACACTAAACCAGGGTCAAGTAATTCAGTTAATGCACTAGAGGCTTTGACGTTAGATATACTGTGTAATGTGACTTTACAGCTTAATTCTTCCAATATTATATACACTTGCATTTTGGGTGGAATATTATTTCTCAGGGATACAGCATATTTAGAACTAATTTAAAACTATGCAAAAGCAATAAAACTCAACTAAGTTGAAATAATTTTCTATTTCAGGGTCCAGTTGACACAATTTACACTATACCACTGAAAGCTTAATTAACAAGGTATAACAAGGAAAGAAAAGAATGAGAAACTCTAAAATCAGAAGCTATCAAATTAGCAAAGTTAAGTTGACTCATCATTAGAGGGAATGTAGTTTATCTCTAAATGCAATATTGATTTAAAACAGCGGTCATTTACCCACTTATTTGTTTAAGCCTTAAAAAGCACTGGATACTGCCTGGAATACAGAAAGCAAGTACTATGCAGTTCTTTCTCTCCTGGCATAGCCTGACAAAAGAGAGAATAAGAACAAGAAGAAAACTTGGGACCACTAAGAATACAAAGCTATGGTTAGGTCATGAGGGCGCCAGAGTGTTGGACTACTTAGTGGGAAAATGAGAAGTCAGAATAACTTTGATCATAGATTGGATCACAGCAGCTCATTACTTGAATTTTGAAAACTCACAACTATAGAAGCTCTAGTCTTTGTAATTCTAGATCTTCATGAATGGTTATTAACCCTACCCCAGATCAACTCTTGAGAAACAGCTGTACTCCAAGTATTTGATACAGTCCCAAATTCCCTGCCAAGAATTATCTGTCTAGCTGGGAAGAGGATTTTTCTGGAGACCATCTGGAAAGGTGGTACATATGTATTTCTTCAATTCTTCCAGATACTTGGTAGCCATTTTATGCTAATCCATCTTCAGGTAGCATCTGCACAACTGGACTCTATTGTATAAATTGTCAAAAAATGGTGTTAACTGAATTGTTGAGGACATTTTTTGTCATCCTCAGGGGAAAAAAATGCTATTGAATTTTACTTCAGAAATTTGTTTTTCCCAGTCAGGAAGACTATATTTTAAATAGTATTATATTTAATATACCTAATATCAATGTTTTATATATTACATACTATATTTAATGATATTGATATTTATAATGAACTTTATGAAATTTATGAATATTATATAAATTATATAAAGTTCATTATATTATTAAATTTATGTAATTTCATATTGGCTCCTATATTTATGTAATTTACATTTATGTCATTTCATGTAATTTATGTGAAATGTATGTAATTTCACGTTGGCTCCTAGAAAGCTTGGAGTCAAATATTCTGACAATTCACATCAAACTGACAAGACTCCATGGCATGGGTTTCTTTCTATTCTTGGAAGGCCCTACTCTTTGTCTTTCAATAGTTTTTTTTTCCCCTTCAGCTTACTGTGTTATGTATAGTTCCATGATTCTTTAAATACTAAACTAGGAAAAGGTGGGATACGTATGTATGTACAGAAGACATTTTCTTTTCTTTTTTCTTTTTTTGTTTTTTGAGATGGAGTCTCACTCTGCTGCCCAGCCTGGAGTGCAATGGTGTAATCTTGGCTCACTGCAACCTCCGCCTCCTGGGTTCAAGCGATTCCTGTGCCTCGGCCTCCCGAGTAGCTGGGATTACAGGCGCCCGCCACCATGCCCAGCTAATTTTTGTATTTTTAGCAGAGATGGGATTTCACCATGTTGCCTGGGCTGGTCTTGAACTCCTGACCTCAGGTGATCCACCCACCTCGGCCTCCCAAAGTGCTGGGATTACAGCCACGATACACTGCACCTGGCTGACATTATTTTCTATAAAACATTTTTGTGTCACATTCCTGTTCTAAAACACAGGGAGTTTATTTTCTTTTTCAATCCTCCACAAATGATAAAAAGTGATAAAAACTTGCATGCTTTCATCAATACTTATGCAATTAGAGAAACTGCGAAATTGCCCTTAAAAATGAAGAGAATTTATGCCTGGATAGCAAACCACACAACTGTTAAGGGTAGATTTGACATCTGAGAACATCTAGTTGAAAACTCTTTGTTCAAAGAACAGAAAGCTGAGAAACAGAGAGGTTGAGGTCACACAGCACCTGGCTGATAATCCAGGTCTCCTGTGTTGTGTTGTTTATGTTCACCACACTGTAAAAGTTTATCTATGGGCTTCCCTGACTTGTTTTCAGCAGAGAAAGTGAAATTGATTAATAATAATAATAATAATAATAGCAAATATTTAGAGATGGTTATGTGATAGTCAATGTTCTGAGTGCCTTATATATATTGACTAATTTAGTCCTCATAACAACCCTGTGAAGTAGATACTATAATTAGCCACACTTTATAGATAGAAAAATTGAGGCTTCCGCTCACACAGCTAGAAGTTCAAGCTGGGATTCAAACACAGGAAGTCCATCTGAGTGTCTGCTCTTAATGAGTCTGCTGCCTTGCATTTACTGTACATAATCTGCTCCTGTATAAGCTTCAACTGAGATTATTTTTTAAATGACAACACATGAAGTTACATTACTGTGCACATGAAAAGTGCACAAATATATGCTGCTTCAATACATGTTTGTCTCCTAGTATCTGTGGGGGACTGGTTCCAGGACATCCTACAGATATTAACATCTGTCCCTTATATAAAATGTTATAGTGTTTGCACTTAACCTACGTACATCCTCCTGTCTACTTTAAATAATCTCTAGATCCCTTATAATAAATACTTAATACACAATGTAAATGTTATGTAAGTAGTTGTTCTGCTGTATTGTTTAGGGAACAGTGACAAGGGAAAAAAGTCTGTACTTGTTGGCTACAGAAGCAAATATTTTTTCGAATATTTAAATCTGTAGTTGGCTGAATCCAAGGATGTGGAAGCCACAGATAAAGAGGGCCAGCTGCATGTCTTCTATACAGACTGCTATTTTGGTCCACATACTCATATGCATGAATTACCATATACAATATAGAGGGTTGTGCTTTCTGGGAATCTTCCTTGTGTCAAGGCCAGGACCCCCCAGCCCAACCTATGCCCTTCTTTCTAAGCCTTGGCTACTTGCCTTGCTTCTGAGCCAGAATGGCCCTAGAAATGACTGCCCCCACACAGTGTACTTATGAAAGCCAGCTGCTACCATCATTACCACTCACCAAGGAGACCCCATGTTAATGGATAAGGAGAGACTGTGGTGCCTGGACACTCAACAGGCTGTATTCAAGGCAGCTCTGGCTTCCCCAGGGGTTGCCTGGAAGAACTGGTTAATATCAACAGGAAGTATGATGAAATTAACACTCTGTGACCAGTAAGTGACAGGAGATGTAAGGAACCTGCATATAAAGTGCCTATCCTCCTTCCCCGGGGAGGCACTGTTCTGTTCTGTAATGCATATGGTCTCTCAGGAGGCATCCCACACAACTGAGCAACACACTGTACTGCTGAACAGCTGTGATCAGCTCAAGAACACTCTATCTTCTACTTGCCCTCCCTCATTCCCCATATCGTTTCTCTATTTCCCTAACTCTTCATTCCCTGGGATTTTAACACCCCTTCCCCCAATAAAGTGTTAGCACGTAAGCTTTTGCCTGTGTTTTCCAGGAAATCTGAGCTAAGACACGAGATAATCACTTGAGATGCATAATTTTATTGTATAAAAATGTAGTTGGCAGATTGCGGCAATCAGCGTGAGTACTGGAGAACACTGGCCCTCAGAATTCCTTCCCTCTTTCCCCTCTATGATTCAATAGCATGAAAAGCAACTCTTAATGCTTTAGTCCATATTTTGGATACCATATACCTCCTGCAGTAGGAACTAAAGAATTATAAATTTTCTTGATATAAGGAATAATTGTTTCAATATTTTATATCCGTAGCTATATCTTTAATTTTTATGCATTTAAAAATTCTCTTTGCTAAGATTCAGGAAGACTTTTTAATTTAAAATGCTGTTACTATGAAAAGCACCAAATAAACCCATTCAAAGTTCAAATTATGTAGCCATGGAGGGCAGTATATCTTACAGCCCATTCATTCTTGTAGCATTACCAAAACATTGTATTCTATTGAAAGTTAGATTCATGGGCGGGTCAGACAAAAACTTTTCATCATTGGGGTAGTGCTATATAATATTAATCCTTAAAACATTTTGGACCTAAATTGGTTCTTCCATACTTAATGGTGCATACTGTGGGATACGAGCTGGGTATTGGTTTGAGTATGTTAGCAGGTATGACAATATTTTATTTGTGTCTCAGATCCATCTGAGAGAATATGCTGGTTTCCTAAGTATTTATTACAGAATTACCAACTCTGCCACAGGCATATTTAGAATTTAACACACAAGAAATTCTCTTTAATCAATAGTACAGAAAAATAGGACCTCAGACTCATCAGATAATTCATCTGTCAATTAGAAACTGGGCATTCGCCAAAAGGAAGATGCAGCTTGCCCAGTATTTGAGAAAGATGGCTGGAAGACAAGTTAACATTCCATTCCTCTTGCTTATCTAAGCTTCACTGTCATTAATTTAGATTTCACAGTCAACAACAAATCTATACTACAGTACCTTAATATTCTAAAGAAATGCTTTCAATAAATTATTATTTAATGCTATATGCTCAGATTTTAGAGAAGAGCAATAAAAGAAGTAACCATCTAAAGAATGTTTCTGAGTTTTTTTAATAAAATCATAGTTAATAAATGTGTTCTACTGCAGTATCAAAGTTCTTTGTTGATCTAGGTGAGAAAAACCCATAATGCTCAGAAAAATGATGTTATTTGACTTGAAACATTATTATTTATTATTATTTCCCTTAGCAAAAATTAAAAAGCTAAATCTAGCATTCAACTCCAATAATTATTTTTTTCAGGTAACTGGTAAAACATTTCTTCCCTTTCAATTAACATCGGCCTCTTTATAAGATTTAACTGTTCTTTTTAATGCTTTTGATAGAGAAGTAGCTCCAAACCTAAAAAATAATTAACTAAATATGCAATAAAGTTATTTAATAAGTAGTTACAGGAAAGCATATTTACCTATATTACAGATGAAACAGGGAATTTTGTAATCAGGTTAAATCAGGCACGTTTTAATTTAACAGGATCATATGAACAATACATATATATATATGATGGAAGAAGAAAAGAGCTGGCAAATCATTCCTCTTTCCTTGTTTTCCATGTTTTTTGAGCTTTACTGCATTCTTCATGGAAAATTTCCCTATAATAGCACTTTTCTTTTTACCTACTTCGTTTCTCTTCTCAATGACTTTATGGAATATTTTACAGGGAAAGAATTTAAATAGAAACTATAGCAAATATTAATAATTAACCAGGTATAGGGATAGAATTCAATTACCACACACTTTATGTTATTTCCAAATTTATTTGATATAATGTGTTATAAGAATTATTGAAACTGACAAGTAGCCTTTCATATTTGTAACTTATGTGAATAACTCCACTATTAGACTATGTCTAAATTATGTCAGATAGACATCTCAATGTAAAAGTATGGTAGATTACTACATTTATAAACAATAAATTTTTCAGTGGTTTTGTTGGTGTCACATAGTCAACCTCAGAGAAGAGTATCTTTATAGGGAATTAATTATATATATCTCTGTTTCTCAGCTTTGTAATATTTCATACCACATACACAGTATTTTGTTAAGAGTAGCATGTTACATAAATTAGGTGTGAATTATAAATTATAGTCCCAAATCAGATGGAGATCACTAAAAAAAAAAAAATCTCATTAGGAAGCGCAAATCCCCAAATCTGGTGTCCTGCATTACACCTATAAATGTGTGGCAATTCCCAGCACTTTAAAAGCCTGTCTCTTGCTGAGACAGTCATATCTGCTGGTCTGTATCCTCTGTTTTGGGATTAATTGCCAGGTTTCACCACCATGTGAACTTGTCCACTATTCTAAGTTCAAAGGTAGCCCTTTCTCTCAGGTCATGCTCCATATGTCATTTGACTTCTTGTCCTTAGTCTGGCCTGAATCCTAGTGTCTAAATATTAAGATGCCATCACTTGTCGTCTTTCGGACTTCTTTTCTGAATGAGGAGCCTTTCTAATGTCACTAAATTTGACCCTATTTATCAAACCGATCTCCCTGAAACTGCATTCCTCTTTCAAGGTAAAATGGTTTTCTTGGCTAGCAACACCTTCTCTGCCATCCAGCCCCATCATACAACTATCAACACATTCTTGAGGCATTAACTTTTATGCTACTTAGGAAATCAGTTCTTTACTTAATGTTAGGAGAGCCCTTCATATTTTCATCCCTCAACAATTCACATAAATTTTATATGAAATAATTCGTGATAAAAAATCAAAATCTACCAAATTCTTATTATACCCATTATTATCTATTATTTAAGCCCATAATATATTATTAAGTGTTAGGCCCATTGTATGCCATTAACCATTATATCCATCGGATCAGAGCTGCATCTGATAGTATATACATGATTTACATTTTGAAATTTGCAAGGATGATGATACAAGAACTATATATTCCTCCAACTATAACAGTGAGTTAAAAAAATTAAAAAGTGGCTGGGCGTGGTGGCTCAGGACTGTAATCCCAGCACTTTGGGAGGCCCAGATGGGTGGATCATGAGGTCAGGAGATAAAGACCATTGTGGCCAACATGGTGAAACCCCGTCTCTACTAAAAATACAAAAAATTAGCTTAGCCGGGCGTGGTGGCGCGCCACTGTAGTCCTAGCTACTCGGGAGGCTGAGGCAGGGGAACTGTTTGAACCCAGGAGGTGGAGATTGCAGTGAGCTGAGATCCTGCCACTGCACTCCAGCCTGACACAGTGAGACTCTGTCTCAAAAAAAAAAAAAAAAAATTACAAAGGAATTTTAAAATAGTTTCTTCAAGACAGTCTAAAATTCATTTTGGCAGCAAATATTTCACTTTTTTTTTTTTTAAAAAAAGAAGGCAAAGTAGAATAGTTTACACTTACAAACTAAAAAGCTTTTTTGTTGTTGTTGAGACGGAGTTTCACTCTTGTCGCCCAGGCTGGAGTGCAATGGAGCAATCTCGGCTCACTGCAACCTCCTTCTCCCAGGTTCAAGTGATTCTCCTGCCTCGGCCTCCCCAGTAGCTGGGATTACAGGCGTGCACTACCACGCCCGGCTAATTTTTGTATTTTTAGTAGAGATGAGGTTTCACCACATTGGCCAGGCTGGTCTCAAACTCCTGATCTCAAGTGATCCACCCGCCTCAGCCTCCCAAAGTGCTGGGATTACAAGCGTAAGCCTCTGCACCTGGCCACCTAAAAAGCTTTTTTTTTTTTTAAACAAACAAACAAAACTAAAGTCTTTATAGGTATCATCTTCACAGAATGTTTATGATTGATTTTCCTACCATATAGCCTTATGAAAATAAAACATAAGCTTAACAAGGTTCATATTAATGTAAGTAATTTTGTAATTCTATATCAAAATGTTTTCTTTTAGCAAATGTTCCCAGTATTCAAAATATTAAGAGAGAAATAGTCATCTAGTTCTTCCCTTTAATGCAACAATGAAATCAATATTGAAATCATGGAATATAATCTCCAGTTACTAATTGAAGTGATTACTAGCACAATGGAAAAGCAGGCTTCTTTCCAATCTCACCAGCAATACCATTTATCATGTCTGTTTTCAAGTAATAAAACTGGTGTTGAAAAACATCAAGAGGGATAAGGTCAGAACATTGCACCGAAAATGAGAAGTCCCTGGCTTAAAAAGTTTGTCATCCAAAGGGCTGGACTCCTTTATCCCAGCACAGTATGCAGCTCAAAGTTAGCTGGAGGATAAAATTTCAAATTATGAGTCATTTAAATTGCAAGAAGAATAAACTTGTGTCAAAGGAAGGGATCCTGAAGAGACCAAATGCATTGGAGCTACAAACTTGTAGAAAGATTTTCAAGACCTCCTTTTCACAAAAGAATCCAAGATGTTGGGTCTAACAAAGGTAAATGTCACAAGAAACCGAAACTCAGACCCAGACAAATACACACATATATATAGTTTTACCTTGCTGCGTTGGGATCCTGTGACCTTAAGGAAGGATGAGGACAAGAAGCAAAATAGCAATAAACAATTGCTCTGAAGACAACGGATAGACTATAAATGCTGTGCACTTCAGAAAAACAATATTATCTGCTGCTCACAGCTCATTCTAAACTGACCTCACTTTCTTATCAATAAAGATGACTTTGAGAATAGAAAACATATACATTAGAAAAGATTATAGAAATCATACAGAAATTAATCTTATGGCATTTTTCTCAGCCAGCAATAGTCATGGGTTCCTCAAATTAGATTGTTTTTATATTTTTGACACATTGACTTCAATGCTGCAGAGAGGTTCATAACAAATGCATCCTGGAAGGTCACTGCTCTGAGCTTATTCATTGGCTAATACGTTTTTGTGGGTCCACTTTAATTAAAGACTCATTGCTGGCTACTGATATATTTCCAGACTTCTAGCTCAAAGTCCAGACATGTAAATTAAAAGGAAAAGAAAAAGAATCTAATTTCTATTTCCCTGCACTTAATTTCTTTATGAAAATTCTAAAAAAACAAAACAAAACAAAAAAAGAGCCAATAAACAAAAAAAGCGGTAGTTAGCAACAACTAGCTTTTCCTCATAAAAAACGAAAGTACAGTATAAGCAAAGGGGGAAAATACTATTAACTTTCCTTTGGGCTAAGTAACATTAAGCAGCATTTCAAATTACGTAGGACATTTAAAAGCTGAGAGCATTTGAGAAAATAGTTGTAAACTACAATACAGTCCTAGGGATATATGGACTCCTACCTCATGCAAGCAAACTGCGTTGTGTGCCACTATCTGCATATGTACATGGAATGAGTGATCTAATTGGGCAGAAGTCTTTAAGGCCAAATCTTTAAGACTTCTATTCAGGAAAAAATATCAAACCAAGGGTTTACTGAAAAACTTGACATCATGTTGTTCTTCAATAAATATTTTCCTCACGTCTGTTGGAAATTCCAGACCACATCGCTGAGATGAGACCAATTTGAAGCCGTCTCATCTCTGAGGGTTCTCAGGAACACTCATTCTGAACATATGTGCTTCATTATATTATTTAACTATTCTATGATCCTTGGTCTTAACTTCAGCAAATGTTAGGACTCAGGTTTGTCCATCCAGCTCTGACATGCAGTTCCTTGACACAATAAGCTGCAATAAGCCATGAAGCAAGAAACATAAATGTCAGTTATAAGCTATGAAACAATGTTTCAAGATAGAAAGAAAGGCAAATCCAGAAAGATCCATCTTACTTCAAAACTCTTCACTTCCTCTTCACCATCGTCATCTTCCTCATCATGACAACTCTGTATATTTAAAAAAAAAAAAAAAGGAGACAGGAATATGTTGAGATTTTAGAAAGTGCAAAAGAACATTAGACATAGAAGAGCAAATCATTTGTATTAATTTATCATCAACCTTGTTTAAACACATGTAAGATAGAATGCTTAGATGACATAATCAATGAATTCATGACATGAAAATTATATATAGTGCTTTTACAAAAATAAAATATTAAATTACATATTTTATAGGTAACAGAGATAACTATGAGGTCCACATCATACTATACCCGCTACTTATTCATACATTTGCCTCATTCAAACCAAACTGCAAACCTTAAAAGGATTTTCTCTTTTTTTTATGCTGCCATTGCAATGCACGAATACAGGCAAATATAATGACCATTAGTTAAAATTAGACCGGGCGAGGTGGCTCACCCCTGTAATCCCAGCACTTTGGGAGGCAGTAGCGGGCAGATCACCTGAGGTCAGGAGTTCCAGACCAGCCTGAACAACATGGTGAAACCCTGTCTCTACTAAAAATACAAATATTAGCTGGGCATGGTGGCGGGCACCTGTAATGCCAGCTACTCGGGAGGCTGAGGCAGGAGAATTGCTTGAACCCAGGAGGCGGAGGCTGCAGTGAGCCAAGATTGTGCCATTGCATTCCAGCCTGGGTGACAGAATGAGCCTCCATCTCAAAAAAATAAAATAAAGAAAAAAGAGTCTGAAAAATACATGCTTTTAATACATCTCAGCTGCTATTATTATTATGGTCTGTAGTATAATAGTGACCAAAAGAAATTGGTCATTAACCAATAGCTATAGTAGGAAGAACCCTACAGCTCATCAAAGTTAGATTGTTCCAACCCTTACACGTATTTCTGCTGCTTGGTAAGCATTCAATGTTTCCATGGGGTGTATGAAGGCAGATAATGAAATATAAGCTACAAATCATAAACATATTTTTAATTCGGTGAGACACAGTACTCTGGGCATGGAGATGAACTGGGGATGGGAGGGAAGGTAAACAATGTGACCCTTCCACTCACTCCGTGATAAATTCTAAAAGGTTTGTCATATTCTTTCATTCATTCAACAAATATATACTACCCTTTCTGTTTATCATGATAGCACCACGCTTTCTGTTTATAATGATAGGCACATGAGCATAGTTTGCAAAGGAGGAAATAAAGGTGGGGACGCAGGCCTAGGACAGTTTCATTGTCTGGGTAATATGTTAAACTGCACATTTCATCACAAAAGCAAAGATGTTAATGATTCCCTCAGAAAGCAGGAAATGTTCTCCTTTGAGTTTCTGCTGCTCTGTCTCCCATGTTATTAGTCAGCCAGGATTTAAAAAATAAGAACTCATGAGAACTTTAGCAAAACAGATTTGGAAGGCAAATCTGCAGTCCTCCATCAATACATACTGTACATCTAATGTCGAAAACAGAGGAATTTTGCTTAGCTGCTCCTTAAGACTACCTATTCTAATATCTCCCATTATTCCCAATAATTAGCAGTGTGCATTAGTAAATAGGAGTAAAAAGAATAGGAATTTTATCAGATAACAAGCATGCTTACTCTCTATGCAAATTAGAACACTAATATACAATGTCTCAAGGATATGAAATTTTACATTTTCTCAAAGACATAGTCTTCTATAAAAATTTCATGACCTTCAGAAACATAGGAGAGACACAAGGATTGAGATAAAGAATACATTCAGACAAATTGTTATTTGGGATTATAATGATATGTTTTTAAGCCATAAAATTCATAAGCCATGTTTGCTTTTGTACAAAGGGATAATCCATTTAAAGCACTAGCTGAAAAAAATTTTTAATAAAAAAGTATTTTGAAATAAAATATTTTAACTGTTTTAAAAAAATCTTCCTAGGAAAATTTAATGAGATTTGCTCCTAATGAAGTTAAAATTTGTGATTTTTAAAAACTATTAAACCTGAATTTACTTGGTGTACAGACTGTATCTGACAAATTCACCAAACCTATAAAAACTACTTTAAACTTCTACTAATTAGCTTGAGAATATGCTAAGATCACACAAACAAAAAAGGTATCAGATTTCTAGCAGCTTTTGAATATACTGTAGAGAAACAGAAGGATTTACTGGAACAAAAGATATGTTCTTCAATAGCAAATGGCATCCACGTGACATAGATGATAATGCTAAGCAAATGGGAAGTTATATTAGACAGTCCTGTAGCAGGATTTGGCTTTCTGGATCAGAATGCTAAATTCTAGACAAGGAAGAGTCCTTCTTTTGCCAGGAAGGAAAAGGTGAATAAGCTAAATACATAAAGGGGCAGGTGTGGAATAAATAATTTCGAAGAAAATAAATAAAATGGAGGATATGTCAGATCATTCAGGTATCCACAACAGAATTCAAAACTGGCAGCACGAATACATAACACAGTAATGAGGGCTCTTCAGCTTGCCAGTATCTGCTGAAAATTTCATTCTGCCACAGAAGTATATTTCATGCATTCCTTAGTTGCCTTTCTGATTTGATAACTCCGCAGAAGACTAAGGAATCAAAACCCAGAAACTTTCATTGTGGATTTAAATCTGACTAACAGAGAGCTCATGGGTGAGACAGAAGAGAGAAACTCATAAGAATGTGACCGCAGCATTTTATACTTTTAACCAAGAAAGAATGGAACACTAGGCATAACGATGTGTATCTTAAATATTTTAAAAAGTTAATAAGAGAAGGAGGAGAACTAGGAGGAAAGAGTTCCCTTAGCTGGAAACTCAAAACAGCAGCAACATTGTTGAGTGTTTAATTTGTGATATCATTGCAGATATCTTCCTCCATACTGTTACCTTATTCAAATTGGTAAAACCACCGTTGGGGTGAAGCAGCTTCAAATAGTCCAAGAGGGATGACAGCTGGTAAAGAGACATTCTAAGGAATCGAGCAGGGTAGGCATGATGCAGACAAAAAGGGGTGGCAACAGCAAACCGATGGGATGCACTGAAGTTCTCCATAGGATTTTTTAAAGAGGAAGTATATATGATAGGAGTAGGGGAATAGAGTTTAGAATGAAGTGTGGCTTGAAAGATACAAAGATGTAAAATGATTTTTCAAATTATCACCAAAGTATGGTCAACAAGGAGCAGTAAGCACATGATTTAGAGCAGATGCTGTACTCATCATAATAGAGAGGACGTGCAGAACCACTCATCAGCTCTTTTGTTTCAGAAAGAAGTGATGTTTGTAATACAGAAAAGTACCTAGCCAAGAGAAATGAAAATCATGACTCCAGCAAAATACCATTTCATACCCATTTGGTTGACAAAAGTCAGTAACTCATATATCAAATATTGGAGGGGGTGTGGATC
Organism: Homo sapiens; assembly: GCF_000001405.40. NCBI lineage: Eukaryota > Metazoa > Chordata > Mammalia > Primates > Hominidae > Homo > Homo sapiens. Next base: position 237,738,950 of record NC_000001.11, on the reverse strand, counting down.
ACCAGAATCTCTCTTAACCATTGTTGTTAAGAATGTCCATTGATGCAGTAACTTTGGAAAACAGTATGACATTTGTTCCTTTATTTGAAAATGGGTACACCCTGTAGCTCTTGTAAGATAGGTGAAATGGATAAGAATAGGCATTCAATCCCTGTTCACATTAGCAAAAACACAGAGGTGATACAAAAGTCTATCAACGAAAAAGGTAAATGGATAAGCTCTGGTATATCTGCCCAAAGGGAAATAACACAACAATAAAAAAAAATGAACTCCAACAGCACAAAAAAGTATGGAGGAATCTTAGAAAACACTATTAATTCAATAAGTAGAGCCCAAAATATTACACACAGCCTACTGCCCTTTTAAAAGTCAGTAACAACTTAAATTATATATATATGAAAATTTATCTATCTATATATAAATAAATGAAAACTACATGAAAAGAAAAGCAAGGGCATCTTGAGCACAAGGTTTAGAATGATGGTTTCTTTGTGTGGGGAGACAGGGTATAGGTTAATGAGAAGCCCATAGGATAACACGTAAATTCTCTAGGTTGTTTCTTGTCAGAAGTGGGTTTATGGGTAGTTACTACATTATTAGAAATGACTAAGTAACTTTAAAAGTAGACACTAGTGGACTAACAGTGACTGTGTATCATGAATTCAGAGTTATCATTAACCCAACTCTGTGTTCCTAAGTTTAAAAAACAATTAAAACTGAAAAACAAAAACCTAAGTAAGATATAAATGATGCCTTCCAAGGGACCTGCAGTGGTGGAGGAAGACACATACAACAGTCTCTTAAAGTGAGTTCAAGTCTCAAGTATCAAGACTCAAAGCAAAAGTAACATCCGTGGATGCAGAATGACTGTTGGTAAACCGAGAAACCATGAAGGCCAAGTGAAAGTTCCAGACAACTGGGATGCTAATTTTTAAAATGAGGAAAGACAGCTTCCAAAAACTACCCGCTAGGAAGTTCGATATTAATAATCAACAATAGTCTAAAATGGGTTATCAAGCAAATCACTGAGGAATACTCATCCATCTTTGGCAGTTTTACCAAAGTTAGAATTCGAGTTTAAGCAATCACAGTAACATCTTGATTTCTTTAAGAATCTCATGAAAGGAGATGAGAAATATGAGTTTTATAAAAGTATGTTTAGATGGATTGAAAACAAAGTAGGTTAACCAGTCTGGGAAAGGGTATAAAAATTTCAGCTGCACACTACCAACTGAGATAAACAGAGAAATCAATCACACTTAAGTTTGTGGTTAACACAAATGGAAAGAGATAACAGTGTATGACAGAATCAAATGTTAGAAAGATTTCAGCCTGGGGCAATGGTCTGACTTGAATTATAGAAATGATGACATATACTTAATTAAAAAATTAAAAGTCAACAGTATAATACAGGATAGCTGACATGACCTGGCTGAAAATTTAATGCATTCTTGCCATTGATGGCAAATGTATAAGATCCTAAGGCAGTGCAAGTGAGGGTACAGTTCCCATACACACTACGCAGGTGAGGTCGTAACTGGAATACCGTGTTTGATTAACTTCTGGGTGGCACATATGAATATACTGGAGAATGTGCCGAGTGTAACAAACTGCGTGGTGCAAGCTGGACATCCCTGAGTTACATTAAACAATAAAATGAATATGATTATTTAATTATGAAGGGGAAAATTTGAGATAAAGCATCAACAAGGTAGCCCTCCTCAAATATTTGACCATCTATCAAAAGAAACTAGATTTAGCTTTAGGATCCAACAAAATCAATATGGAGGCAAATTCAGTTTCACTCACAAGGAAGAACTCTAACAATCAGAAACAACCTATTCTTAAATCAAGAGCTTCTACCTATTCTCAAACCAGGAGCTTCTACCTGTTCAGCCCACTTCGATTCTTCAGCTGCAGAGAACACCCAGGCTGGGGGCTGCTCTACAATCTCTTTCTCACCTCCCTCTTTCTTCATTTCCTTACAAGCCACCTCCTAGCAACATACAAACCTGCTTTGATCTACTGTTCTCAACAAGAGTCTGGCAGAAATCTTCACCCTTGATGAATCTAACTTCCTGGCTTCTCAGAATTTGCATTTGGTTCTGAGAATTGCTAGTTGTCCTCACACAGCCAGGGGGAGCATTACTGCTACAAATTCGTAGACAACAGCCTAAAATAAACCAGGCTTCCTTCACAGTCCGTGAGTCCTATTTTAATTTCTAGCCCATGTGCCATGCCAATTGCCACGATGTCTCTTTCAGTGCTTCTCTCTCTCCTCCAGCCTTCCTTTGCTTCTCTCTCTCCTCTAGCCTTCCTTTATAGACTTCATCAAACACTTAGGTGTCAGCAGGTGACTGTCCTTTTGTCTTCAGAGAGAGAGCGAGCAAATAACCTTAAAAGGAAACATTTCCAACCTCCCATTATCCTGGCAGCCTTCCCTTCTTCCCTTTGTATCTTTTATCCTTTTATCTTTTTTTTTTTTTTTTGAAACGGACTCTCACTCCATCGCCCAGCCTGGAGTGCAGTGGTGCAATCACGGCTCACTGCAACTTTCCGCCTCCCAGATTCAAGCAATTCTCCTGCCTCAGCCTCCTGAGGAGCTGGGATTACAGGTGTGCACCACCGTGCCTGGCTAATTTTTGTATTTTTAGCAGAGACGGGGTTTCACCATGTTGGCCAGGCTGCTCTCAAACTCCTGATCTCAAATGATCCATCCGCCTCGGCCTCCCAAAGTGCTGAGATTATAGGTGTGAGCCACCGTGCCCAGCCCTATCCTTTTATCTTTTAACCCAGTGTTTATTAAACTATGTGTTTCAGCTCATCAATCAGACATAAAAACAATTTGGTGATTCATGATAAAATAAAAACAACTCTGTTTAAATAGAATGGAAAAGTTCAGACTACATTGCTCATAGGAAGAGTAAAATTTTGTGAAACTTTTCTTTCATGGCATATATTTTTATGTTACTTTAAACATACAGTTTTATGTTTCTATAAATATACAGTTGGCCCTCCATTGGTTCTGAATCCATGGAGTCAACCAACTGTGGATAGAAAATATTTGGAGAAAGTAAAATGGGTGATTGTGTCTGTACTGAACATGTACAGATATTTTTCTTATCATTATTCCATAACAATATGATAGAGTTGAACAACTATTTACTTGGCATTTACATTGTATTAGGTATTATAAGTAATCTAGAGATGATCTAAGTATACAGGAGGATGTGTGTAGGTTACATGCAAATACTATGCCATTAGTCAGGGATTTGAGCATTCTTGGATTTTGATATCCCACTGGGGGTCCTGGGACCAATCCCCCATGAATACTGAGAGATGACTGTACCGGGTAAATGTATTTCTTGCTGTAGGTTAGAGTTTAAAATAAATTAGAAAGCCATGGCTTTTCCCTTATGTCCTGTAACCTGTCTTCTCCAGCAGGTCTCATGGACTCCAGACCTCACTTCACAAATGATTCCCTTTCCTATTCTGTTGGCTCCTTCTCACCAGAATATATGTGTGCTTAGATGGCTCTCTCTTTAAAAACAAGCAAACAAATGGCAAACAAACAAAAATAATCCCCTTCAACCTCACAATTCCATCTAGATATTTGTTACCTTATATCTTTCTGTTCCCTCTCAATCTTTGCAATGAAGAAACAACTATACTATTTCTGTTCACATCTGAATCACTACTTACTTTCTCACACTACAGCATGTCCCCACTCCATGGCCCCTCTCCACAAACCGCAGAAGCTGTTCTTACTCTGCTTATGTGATATACATGAAATAAATCTGGAGATTTTCAATCCCTACCTTGCTCAATCTCACAGCAGAACATGATTTTGGTGACCACACAATAAGTCCTATAGCTTCTAGCTCCTATGTTAGCTCACACTTAAGGTTCTCTCCAACTTTTTTATGAGCTCCTTTCCTTCTAACCATCTTTTAATGTTCTGTGTCCTTACAGGCTAGGTCCTAGGCCTCCTCCTCTCCTCATGCTGTCATCTCTTCCTGGGTAAGATCATCTACTCCTACGGCTTCTAATGCTGATAAATTCCAAGTCTATATTTATAAGCCTTACCTGAGATACTGAATGTCAGACATGAATGTCTAATTGCATGTTTGACACCTCCACTTAGATGTCTCACAGGCATCTTTAACGCATCCACAATTTACTTTGCCTTCTTCTCTCTTCACCCCAGGCCTGTAATTATTCTGGTGCAGCCATCTCAGTACATGGTACCCAAGTGAGAAGCCTTAGCAAAACCTTCACTCCACTTTTATCCTCAATTTATCCACTTGTCAAGAGGAGTAAATGACATAAACACTCAGTAAATACTAAGCTGTACTATTTTTGCATGGCCAACTCATGGTTCAACAGCCAAAGACTTCCTTAAGCAGACCTCACTACTATGCCATGGGACCTGTTCCCAATACTCCTAAGAGTTTCTTGACATGGTTTGGCTCTGTATCCCCACCAAAATCTTATATCGAATTGTAATCCCCAAGTGTCAAGGGAGGGACAAGGTGGGAGGTGATTGGATCATGGGGACGGTTTCCCTCATGCTGTTCTCACGATAGTGAGTGAGTTCTCACAAGATATGATGGTTTAACAGTGTTTGACAGCCCCCCACTCCATTCTCTCTCTCTCTTGCCGCCATGTAAGATGTACCTTACTTCCCCTTTGCCTTCCGCCATGATTATAAGTTCCTGAGACCTCCCCAACCATGTGTAACTGTGAGTTAATTAAGCTTGTTTCCCTTATAGATTACCTAGTCTCAGGTAATTCTTTATAGCAGTGTAAAAATGGAGGGATACATTTCTCTGCCATTAAGTTCATCAGGGTTTTTCTACAACCATTTGCTTAAACTTTATCTTCCCCATCAGACAAAAAACTCCACAAAGGTGTAGTGTGTGCCCTTCTTTCTTCTTCACATGTTATCTCCAATATATTGATGTCCAGCAAATATTTGTTGAATGAATGAATGTTTAGAAAAAGTTATGGCTCCTCATAAATAAAATGTTTAAGTAGGAAACAATGATGACCTGCCATGGAATTTAGAACGGAGATTCATGCTACAAACAAAAAGTTGAAATTAATGAAATACACAGATTCTTATCCTTTTCAGATGAAAGTTACTTCCCTTTATTAAAATTAAACATGAAAATCAGGAAGGATACTTATTTACCTTTGCCATAATATCTGCATAGGCCATATATAAAAAATCTTCCTCCAGTTTGCTGGGGAAAGCAAGAAGAAAACATCAGTGTTTAAGCAGAAGGCTAGGCACATGCACACGTATCATCGCTGCTTAAAATAACCTTTGTTCTTTTTCTAACAAGTATACCTTTTTAAAATTAAATGAACACAAAACTAAGACAATATTAGGATATTCAGAAATATCCTGAAATCAGAAAGCAAAGATCCCGGGGATCCTAAATAGCTGTCCCATCTTACCTTACAGAAGGGCCTTCAATTTTCACAAAATAAACTGTCTTTTGGTTTACACACAAATGTAATAATTTTAATTTTCTTCAGACTACAAAACTTGAAACAAGCAAACTTAAATGAGGTGGGGGCTTTTGACAGAAGTGAAATTTGACATTTGATGGAAAGAGTCCCCAAATTATGATATGACAATTAAAAAACAAGATGGCCATAATAATGATCCCTAAAAATTAAGAAAGGTTAAAATATGTTTATTATCTTCTTTTTGAGAAGCATGGAAACCATGACTACGTGAAGAAAAGTTTCCACCAAAAATATACCTAAAATTTGCAAAGTTATTTCAGCAGTTTTAAACTTCAGCCATGAGAAAAATTCACTTATGAGAAATACCTCATTACCTGACAATGCCAGAGAGAGAGTTGCTCTATGCTTAGGAATGAGATGATTTTGTTAGTTAGGAAATAATAAGAGAGAGAGAAATAGTGAGAGAAAGGATAGATCACATTAGCTAAGAGGGAGAAATGTACATTATTATGGCAGGCAAAGAGGTCAAATGAACTCTTCTGAGGAGATTCATGTGGATATGAGTTTTTAATTAAATTACATCCCAAATTCTGCAGAGAATGGGAAAGGCCTGGGGGCAAAACAGGCTTTCTTTCCCATTGCAGGGCAGCAGATAAAGGTCCTCTAGCCTCTGCTATGTCCCATCTGCACAGCCAATTTATGCATTGCCCTCCGTAATGACAGATGCTGAGCACATTTTGACGATCAGGCCTACCAGTGCATTTCTTATGTAACTTCAGAGAGGTTTGCCCTTTGTGGCTTTGGTGAATTCATATGACTAAGGCTGCAGAAGACAAGAAAAATGGGCAATGCCCTTGAAATAGATCTCAGAGATACCTCCAAGTTGAGGTGATGGCTCACTTAGCCTCTAGAGGTTTCCTAAGACCCACTGCACAATGGAGACACTATCTACCCAGAAAATTTGGGGCCACCATCGGTCTCCATACACTTGCGGCACTGGAATTTGCTTTGGTTCTTTTGTTTTATTTATAAAGTTTGTTTGTGATAAACAGAAAAACCATTTCATAAGAAGAATCAGAATCAACTACATCATTAATTACAAAGTTGTTAAGAAAAACTAGAACTAGTAGGTAGTTGCTGAAGCCTAAAATTGAATGAGTGTCGGTCCCTAGGTACATGCCAGGCTGGTTGTTATCTTTGAACAATTCTCTCTCCTAACAACAACAAGATGAACTTAAAACATGAACACATGGCACAGAATACTCAGACACGGGTGTCTTTATTTGCTCCTCCTATGTCTCATAGGAACCCTCCCAACCATACCATTTCTCTGTTAAAGCTGTCCGACTAAACAGAAGGATCAGCTGATGTAGAGGATCAACTCTCTTAGTGCCTTCATCTTCTTCTGGAGGTTCAGCCCCAGGTTTCTGCAAAAAAGTCAAATTTATAAAATGTCACATTAAAAAAAAATGTTCACTCAAATCCAAAAGCACTGTGAAGGACAGCAATGAAGAATAAAAGGAATGCGAACGTTCCTCCTTCCCTGTTGTGGGGTGTGTGTGTGTGTGTGTGTGTGTGTGTATTTTATATGCATTATACATGCTATATATGTATATATGTGTGTATGTGTATATAAAAGCTTGTATGTATATGTGTTGCATGTAAGTGTAAATATGTAATATACATGCTATAACATATATAAATGTAATATAATATGCTAGATATCTGTTACATTACCATTGTAAAATTATGCAGCTCAAAACAGAGATATTTAATAATTTGACCAAAAATTAATATGAGCAGGGATAACTTATATCATTTAAAAATACCAAATGCCATTCTTATAAGCATTTTCATAACTCAAAGTATATTTGCTGCATGGATTTTAGCTTTAGGGAGGACTCGATTTACAAATATTTGCAATAAAATCCTGAGTCACCCCAAGTGTGAAAATTTAGTTCCCATAGCAGTGCAAATTGCTTATAAAGTGAAATATTTTCTTCGCTTACACACAGCATGATACGTAAATAATACTAAATGAGTTAATGCTTGAACCACTTATACTTTTTTTCTTATTTTCAGTTACTTTTAAAACTTAAAAAATATTTTTTTTTTACTATCGGATAGAACTTTAATAGCGAGGAAAATTATTAAGCATTTTTATTGGCAGAATTCAATTACATCCAACTTTTTGTTGAGTTTTATATCTCCACTGACTTAGCCATGGAAACTAATTTTCTCTGTACATGAATGGTGTTCTTTCCTGTAATTAAGCCTTAATGTGGATAATGGGCAGATTTCCACAAGATATCCAATAGTCTACACATTTTTTATTCTAAAGACAGATAAAAATCATTTTAAAATATGGGGACAATCAAGATTAGGCTTTTAAGAATTAGATTAATTTATCCATTATATTCCCTAATAATCTGTGAGTTAAAAAATAACTTTACACAAGATGTCTTTATCTTGGGAATCATGAAGCCTCTGACTAGTCTGCCAAGTTTTGAGATGGCTTGTAAATTTTGTTGAGAAGATGGCTTTTGCCAGATATTTAGATGGGTCCATGACTTAGAAAAGATGATACTGACTGCTGTTCTGTGCTGAACTCACAAGCTCTTTATCAGCACAGTCTGGTGAAAATTCTACTTCTCATGCTCCACATTTACCATGTGTTCAGTCTCCTGTGTTCAGTCTATCATTCTCTGCCCTGTTGATTTCTAAAAACCAGCAATTTTTTGTTCACCTTCTACTTAATTTAGGTGGATAACTTCTTGACAGTTCATTCTTTTATAGTCTATCCTGGTTCTCAGGTGTTTATAGGTGCTTTGAGAAGGAATTTAAAAGAAAGACTAAATCATGTTTAATTAATAATACTTCTATATTATTCATTTTAAATTCTCAACCCCTTGATGTTGATGAGATCTCTTGGAAATGACAAGAGCACATTTTCCCATAAGCATTGAATGCAGTAACAATTAAGATTTAAAAGTTTCCTAATACCCATATACTGTAATGATATTTTTTCCTTCAATGTTATATAATGACTGCTCACGCCAACATTGCTGCACCAAGCCTAGACCCTCTTTCATCTTAGAGCCCCACTAAAAACATACTGCTAAATCTTCTATCAGTTTATCTTCAAAGTAATGTTCTTCTGTTTCAATCCAAGACTTTTCATATCCCTGAAGAAAGAGATTGACAGCCCGATGCCTGAAAGGTAAGCACAATTTCAGAAAAAGGGTGTTTAGAAAATAAGTTGAAATTGTATTGAGTAGTGCTTTATTACTAGATTATCTGTGCACTGAAAGTGTAAAATAGAAATAAATTCTCTATTCTTGACTCTCCTCCTGAAAGACAATGCTTCTTGCAGCAAACATAGCGCACAGTGACTTGCATTTCAATCCTGGCTCAGTCATTTCCAAGCTTTGTAACATTGGTCAAGTGACTCGACTTTCCCAAATTTCAGTTTATTCCTTTATAAAACCAGGATAACTCCAACCACATTTCAGTTTTGTAAGCCTTAAAATGAGATAAAGGATGTAAATCGCATTGATTAGATGTTCATTAAATGACTATTATCATATAACATGTCTCTCGATAAGCAATGTAATCAGTGTCAATAGAGGACTTAGTCTCTGTCCAAGCAAACATTAAAAAACAAATGGATGGCCCTGAGGATTCCAAAACAAAAGGTATTAAGTGAACTTTATGGGAGTACATACTCAAAGATTAAACCCTGCACTACTTATCATAAATGGCCGCCTGTGAAAAAAGACCAGTGCAGATGAGAAGAATCAGTGGAATTCATGATGAAGTTAGTAAGAGATGTGGATAAGATGTCAAGGTAAGAAAGAATAAAAGAATGTCATGAAGGGAACATCATAAAACAACAACAGATGTGATAGAATGAGAGACGGTGCCATTGCAGGATGGAAAGCTGAGCTTTATGATAACAAATTGGGTTAAGGACTCATGAGACGTAACAGTTAGACAGGTTTATGAAGGGCCTTGGAAATCAGAGGGGGCAACTGCCAACGCAGCCGGAACTGCTAGAAATCATCATACATTCTTGTATGTGAGAGTGGCATGCCAAAGCACAGACTCAGCCTTCTGGGTTCATCAGAGTCACCTGTGTAGCTTTTAAGTAGCACACATGCTGGGCTCTCACTGAAATTCTAATTTAATAAGTTGAGGCCTGAATACTTTTTAAATGAGTTTAAGTGTGTTTCTTAAAAGCACCAGGTTGGCGAACCACTGGAATAAAGGATACCATTTTGAAAATGACATTTTGGAGAGGATGGAAGAACTCTATGACATCACAGAAACTAACTCAGAAACCACTGCCATCAACTTGATATGAGGCAAGGAACAAGCGACTTGAAGAGGTGGTGATGGAGGGAAGGATGGGAATGTGAAGTAGTTCAAAGGGAAACTGATGAAATCTGGGCAATGACAGTATAGGAGTAACCAAAAAGAAATGATAATGTGAATTCAAAGTTAATATTCTTTTTTTTTGCTTTCATTACTTTAAGTTCTGGGATACATGTGCAGAATGTGCAGGTTTGTTACATAGGTATACATGTGCCATGGTGGTTTGCTGCACCTATCAACCCATCTTCTAGGTTTTAAGCCCCATATGCATTAGGTATTTGTCTTAATACTCTCCCTCCCATTGCCCCCACCCCCCGACAGGCCCCAGTGTGTGATGTTCCCCTCCCTGTATCCATGTGTTCTCATTGTTCGACTCCCACTTATGAGTGAGAACATGTGGTATTTTATTTTCTGTTCCTGTGTTAGTTTGCTGAGAATGATGGTTTCCAGCTTTATCCATGTCCCTGCAAGGGACATGAACTCATTCTTTTTTTATGGCTGCATAGTATTCCATGGTGTATATGTGCCACTTTTTCTTTATCCAGTCTATCATTGATGGGCATTTGGGTTGGTTCCAAGTCTTTACTATTGTGAACAGTGCTGCAATAAACATACATGTGCATGTGTCTTTATAGTAGAATGATTTATAATCCTTTGGGTATATACCCAGTCATGGGATTGCTGGGTTAAATGGTATTTCTGGTTCTAGATATTAAGGTTAATATTCTATCTGACCAAAAGGTGACAGCATAATTGAGTCAGAGAATTGAGAAGTAGCACATTTGAGGAGGATGCTAATACATTTTAGACCCAGTGAGTGTGACACGATGGCAAGAAATACAGCTGTCTTAGCAAAAGGGAAAAGTATGATGTTTCCTCTATTTGTTTTGCTTATGTTTCTTTTTTTTCTTTGCCTTATACATTCACTCAAACTCTTACTGAATGTCAATGTACAAGTCACTGTTCTAGGTGCTGAAGAAAGAAAATGGAACAAAACTAGTACAGGATCTCAAAGTCTGAATCAAAGAGACAAATAGCCTTAATACTGTAGGAAAGTGGTATGATGTGCAAGGAGTAGAGGGGCATGGCTTGGTCAGAGATGTTCCACAAAAGAGATGTAGCTGAGCTGAGTCCTGTTTCTGAGACATAGAGGTGATGCAATTTGTATAAACTTCAGAGTGGGAAAGAGCATAGTTTCTCAGAGAACTCCAAGGTGACTGAAATGGTACCCTGGACCACCTAAGCCAGACTTGAATGTACCAGGCTACTTCTCTATTAAGTATGTCTGCTCTATGTCTAAGAGAAGGTTGACGGGCCTGTCAAATCTTTTTACATTATTCCCATAAGTCAGTTCTTTTCCCCTAATGCTAATAATTACAAAAATAATAATAATGACTAACATTTATCATGACATAAACCTACTAGCTCACTTCTAAGCACTCTGTATACATCAACCCATTAAATAATCTGAACAACTCTATAAGGCTGATCCCATTATGATACAGATGAGAAAATTCGCCAGTAAATAACTTGACCAATGTCATGGGGCAGAGAAGTTGGGAGGTCAGAATTCAAATCAAGACAAGTCTGATGCCAAAGAATGATTCAGATCATGTTCTGATTCAAATCCAGGACAAAGAAAGAACTCCTAATGACTCTCTCTTGCCTCACATATGTGAGCAGATATTCCTCAGTAAGAGTCATTTAATAATTACATTAAAGACCACAGTTCTCCGAAAATATCCAACAAAATTAGTCAAGTTTTATGTAGAAGAATCAATAAAGCTTTTCCATCCTTCTCTTGGACTATTGTACCCCTATTAAGGTAGATTCTAAACACCTGTCACTTACTAGGAAAAAATAACATTGATCTATTACAAAAAATAAAGTAATTCCGACCTTGGCAGATTATATAAGGGGGCCATCCGGAAGCAGGCTACAACAGCCCTTTTCCTCTGCTTGGACAGTAGTTTATGCCATACAGCCTTTTTAGATCTCTGAGGATGTTCCACCTGAGGTAGAATGACACAAATAAATATTTACACCCCAAACTACCTTCAAAAACAAATAAATATTTACACCCCAAACTATCTTCAAAAATATAGTATTAAACAGTTGCCCCTCTTAAGTAATCTATATTTGGAATTCCAATTCCAAAAGTACCTTAAGATTATCATGAAGAAGTCCATATCCTAAAAGTTACCCAAAGATAAAATTTAGATAGTTGCAAATGCTATATAATTCCCTTAGTAAGAATATCACATTTTCCCAATACTGTGTACTTCAAAGCTATGTCACCTCTAAAATCAAAGAAATAGAAAATCATTCCATATAAAATCATTTTATCTCCTTCTCAAAATTTTCTTTGGTTCTTTATGATTTTAATACATATTTTCTGCCTACATAAAATATTACCTCATTCTTATTCATATGTCCATTGTAACTAATTTTATTGTAAGAGCTAAAGTAATAAACACAAAAAGAGACAGTTAATAAAAATTCTACTATTCTTTAATACAGCAGGATAAAGAGAAGAAGACAACGCTTTGTGAACACAGTATTAGGAGTGAGTAAATTTGGTAAAAATGTTAAAATATGTAAATATTTTGTTAGATAGGGACAAATATAAATTCAAAAGTTGCAATAAATGATGCAAGCAAGTTATTTATATAACTAATAGTGTTTGGAACTCTAAGAGAAGAAAGAGATTAATTGTATTAGAAAGAAAAAATCCCAACATATAAACCTAAATTAATTAGTAATCTCTAGGCCATTGAGCACTGTACTTCCCAGACAGTAATGTCTCCGACCCACACGTTTAGACTTCTGAAAGAAATAAAAATGTTATGTTAGCTAAAAAAGTAAAACTACATTTATTATCCTTTGCAGTAAAGAGTCAAAAATGATTGTAATAATGTCTGAAGTAAACATTTAAAATGTTTGGACTGCGGTGGTTTAGAAATTTTCACGAGGCAACTTGTTTAACGGAAAAGCACTTATTTCTGTGATGCTCTTCCCCCTCTATGATCAATAAACACGTGGTGACAATTATCCACTTCAATCATCTTCTTGATGCTTGTGTCAAGTGAAATAAACCACTGTTAGGCCTTTAACATAGAAGTAAAAGCAATCAAGGGCAATAGTTTTCAATGAGACCCAACATACTTCAATTTAAATTTCCATTTTGAGACCCCAGTCTGTAGATGATAGCTTTTTACAGGAATTACAGCATTATGATCAGCATGGGTGACAGTTGACAAACATATTTTAAGTTCCTAAGGCATTTAAGATACAGTAAAAATCCAACAAAAAGGGTTCCTGCCACCAGGAAGCTTATCATTTGGCAGGCATTTTATTACCTGCCTATTAAAGTATTTCAGGAAATACCTGAGTGTGCTTTCCTCTAAATCAATGATAAGTAAATAGTTATCTGTGAGATATGTGATCCAAAGGCGAACACAAAGATGTACCTTGTAACCCTGTCTGAATGTCTTGATGTGCTGATGTGTTAGCTTGGCTAGAATTTGATTATTAGAAAATTCAATGGAGATAACCTACTCTCATAAGAAAACTTACCAGATATACAACACAAAATATACATCTAAAACAGGCTGCTGATACTTGAGATAAATTAAATCAACAAGTGTTTCCTGTCCACCTACTGTTTTTTACACTGACGTTTGCAAGTTAAAATATTCTTTGCACGCTCCTCTGTGACTCAGTCACATGTTATCATTAGCAGAGGGATATTAAAGGCATAAATTAAACACGAGGATATCTCCCACTTTTTATTTTTGATAATCGACAATTTCTTTTAACTCAAAACCCTCCTCTCATGATAAACCAATCTCGCCATATTCTTAACAGTTTGAAAAACTCTGATCCTCCCACTTTTTCTAGATAATTCCTACCTTAAGACTTATACAGGGATTACCTACTTCATATCTACATTAAGTATGGGTTGCTTCTATACTTTCTTCAGCACATTTTATATCCTAACAGCTCCGTATCATCCCATATTTATCTGTTTAAGTGTCTGTTTCCTCTCTTACAGCACTCAGTCCTCCAGGTCTGCTGGGGATAAGGCTGCCCTAGGACAGGGAACTCCATAAACATCCAAGGCATAAATGGATACTTAGAAAAGTGAACCTCATTTGAGAAATGCCATCATTCATCATGATTGGATATATTTATGAATATATGGGAATATAATAAAATAGAATCAGTTTCTATAAGCTTCATTTAATGTATCTAGAATTTATTCAAGCAAATCTATATATATGTATAAACACTAGGAAGAATTAAAAACTGATGGTAGAGCAATGCTGTCAGAAATGTAGCCATTTAATTAACCTTTAATAATCTTAAACATATATATATATAATTCTGGAGATAAAACTCTATGACTTTATATAAATCACTTAAAATTTCATGACAAGTCTTGTCATCTGCTGATTGATGATAATTTGTATTTATTTAATATTTCATGAAAATATTACGTAAGTTATTCAGGGGAAAGTATTAAGTTCCAAGGTATTAGATAACGTAAATATATGTTAATAGCCATACAGCTTAAGGGTATCCTAGTGACTTTAATCTCATCAAGTGTAGTGATAAATTGCATGACAATAGAGAAATTATTAACGTTTGGGGGAGGGTATTTGAGTAAGCAAGAAGGAAGTTAAAAGGATACTACATTAGATGATATCTTTGCATTATTAAACTGTCCAGGGCAGGGGTGAGGGTTCAGATAATATAAAACAGGAATACAAGCAAAATGTTTATTATTGCTATGATAATATGTTCAAATATGGCTAAAGGCAATACAAAATTATATATATATAATTTAATTTATCATCTATGAAATTTATCACACATACATATATATATATATATATATATATATATATATATGCACACACACATACATTTAGGTGGCAAAGTTCCTGAGATGGCATAGGGCATCTTATTATTATTTTATATTTAGTATAAAATAACCAAGTCATCAACAGTATGATCTGTCATAAGAGCCCTGTGACAGATCAGATGGTCAAGTTACAATGAGCTTCTTCACTGTGATTATTTTGCTGAATGGACTTGATGAGAAATAGATAATATATCTCTGTGTTGCAGATATTTTACCTAAGCCAGATGATCTCTTCTGTAAAAATATGACCCTCCCATTGATAATGTTTCAAGTATTCTTGTTTTACACATTCTTGTGCAAAGGTAATGAATATCAAACTGAGCTTTGTAGTGTAAAGTAGGACACAACTGAAAAAATATATAAAAACACTTTTCTTACATGATTTTAATATCTATCAATGCATTGTTCTTCTCTAAGTGTAATTTGTTCCTGATTTCAGAGAAAATTAGCTCAAAAATATACCTAATAAAAGGCAAGGTTAAACAAGTGGCAAAAAAGAAAATGTTTCAAATATTAAACCGGTAAAAGATAATATCTCAAACATGTTTTTATGAGCAATATTAAAAAATGAAGTATGCATAAAGTATTTGAAATCAGATGTAACTCCTGAATTTTTTGGTTAGAATAATTTAAAAATATAATCCTAATACTTTCAGAAATATTTGAAAAAAGACAACAAAACAAAGGCCAGGATCTCCCAAAATATATAATCTATATATTGCTACAAGATTTGTAAGCTTAGAAATTGTCTTTATGAAATACTAAGCACACCGGACTCTTATTCTTTAGAATGAATATGCTGAACATATATGTTTCTTGGGTCATAGTTAACAAATTAACACACATTCTCTTTTTAAAATATTTGTATGTGGCTAAGGCAAATATGATTGAATTGACACAAAGCCTGACCTGTTCAAGATGAAAAAGCACATTTGCTATATCCAATACTCTTTCTACCGTCTTCTCTGGATCTGAGGTATCATCAGTCCTGTTTGGTAAGTCTTTGTAAAGAGCCATTTGCCATCTAATAGCAGGATCCTCCAACTGCAGAAAAAAGGAAAAGGTTACAATGGGAAGATGGGAATCTAAAAACAAGGTTACAATCTAAAGATAGGAAGAGTCCACCCATCATTATTTATTGGGCTTTACAGTGTTTACCAGTTAAGACATGACGCGCAGCTGCAGTTATGTAGGATGAACAGGTCTGGAGATCTAATGTACAGCATGGTGATTACAGTTAATAATGCTGCAATTCATACTGGAAATTTGCTGAGAGTAGATTCCAGGAGCTCTTAGCACATACAGGCAAAAGGTAACTATGCGAGGAGATAGATATGCTAATTTGTCTGACTACACTAATCATGTGACTATGCTTATGTATATTGAAACATCCTGTTGGACACCTTAACTATATACAATTATTAAAAATTAAAAATATTGGCCAGGCACGGTGGCTCACGCCTGTAATCCCAGCACTTTGGGAGGCCGAGGTGGGCGGATCATGAGGTCAGCAGATCGAGACCGTCCTGGTTAACACGGTGAAACCCCGTTTCTACTAAAAATACAAAAAATTAGCCAGGCGTGGTGGCGGGCGCCTGTAGTCCCAGCTACTCGGGAGGCTGAGGCAGGAGAACAGCGTGAACCCGGGAGGCGGAGCTTGCAGTGAGCCGAGATCGCGCCACTGCACTCCAGCCTGGGCGACAGAGCGAGACTCCATCTCAAAAAAAAAAAAAAATTAAAAATACTAAGAAAGACAGATAAAGTCCTGGTCATCATGAAATTTATCATCTAGTAGAGAAGACAGACATTAAACAAATATTTAAAATTGTGATAAGGGCTACTAAAACAAAATATAAAATACCGTGAGATTTATCATACTCTTTGGTGGTTGGGTAGATTTCCCTTAACACAAGACGTTGTAACTAGGGCTTAAGGATGAGTGGGAAACTGGAAAACAAAATGGGTAAGGCTACCCATGCTCTTCTCCTCCCCATTCACAGTCTAATTGTAGAAAGATTTCTATGTTTACTTTTATGGGCAAGGATATAGGATAGCATTTACCTATAAATATTTGGACTCTACAACAGCGCTTAATTTCACTGAGGCAAAGATATTAAATTATATAAATCAATAGATGTTTTTAAAATCACACTCATCATAAAGGAGTCTACACATTTTACTTTTCAATAGCATCAAATTTCCTTGGTGAAAAACGTATATGAAATCTTCATGTGTTTAGAAACATTATTATAAGTCATAGAAATTGACAAAAGCAAGCAATTTAATGGGGGTAGAACATATCAGTTCAAAGAAATAATATAGAATAAGTATGTTATTAAAAATGGACAAAGCAGCCGGGCACGGTGGCTCACTCCTGTAATCCCAGCACTTTGGGAGGCCAAGGTGGGTGGATTACTTGAGGTCAGGAGTTTGAGACCAGCCTGGCCAACATGGTGAAACCTCTTCTCGATTAAAAATACAAAAAATTAGCTGGGTGTGGTGGTGCACGCCTGTAATCACAGCTACTCGGGAGGCTGAGGCAGGAGAATCGCTTGAACCCAAGGAGGTGGAGGTTGCAGTGAACCGAGATTGCACCAATGCCCTCCAGTCTGAGTGACAGAGTGAGACTCCATCTCAAAAAACAAACAAACAAAAAACGGACAAAGCAATCCCCTTGTCTTCTACTTTAGAATCTCCATTAGAAATGGGAGACTGAATGTTATGAAGCAGAAATAAATAGATGACATCTAAAACTTCACAACTCCCAGACTGAGAGTGCCTAGTTAAAATGTCAGAAATAATTTTCATCTACAGGCAAACACAGACAGATAGAGCTTTGTATAGGGATAAATGATTTGTAAAGACTACTTATCCTTTGATAAAATAAAATGTTTTCATCCGTTTACTTTTTAAGTCTGAGGACTATGTTTGATACTTACAGGTTTTAATCTGTACTCTTAGTTCTATTTAATACATAATTAATAAAGTAGAATCTTTATTCTAACATAAAATTACTCCTCTGGCCTCAGGATGAACAGCCCTACAATTTCAAGACAATGTATTCAAGAAGTTAGGAATAAAAAAATTCATTTTTTGAAAATCTGTGTATCTCATTAATATGCCTGCCTAACTCCTAGTTTAAGAAAGTGTAGAATAAAATGACAAGATGAATATTTATTCATTACCTCTTTATTTTCAGGTCTTATTCATTTGGAGGTGAAATATGGACAATCAATGTTTCCTTTTTTGCTCTCTTCCTTCTTCCTGTCTCCTGAATACGTCATCTAAACTGTCCAAAATATTCTTACAAGTGACCTTTAGAATATAATGGACAAACTTCTTTCTGCTTATAATCATAACCACCTTTATTTGACCATTTCTTGAGATTGGCCCAGACTCCTCTTAAGAGGTACTGAGCACTCTCTGTCTCTAACTCAGTAATTGTTGAACTAGATAATGGTGCTCCAGGTATGGTCTAGGGTCCCCTGGGGATCCCCTGCACCCTTTCATGGGGTACCTGATCTTCTCAAATACCCATGTACATAAAAACATTTAGTGTCTCTCCCTATAGGGGAAAAATGTTTGTAGTGTAAACTTTTCTTCTGAAGTTCCAATAGAGGCTTTATAAACTTTTAAAAAAATGTTCAAATTCTTCTGGCTATCTGAAAAGAGATCATACTCTAATAGTAATTAATCTCACTCTAAAAGAATTGTTAGTAAACAACTGAGTACACATCAAACTTCACATGAAATTTGCTCTGAATGAATACTTGTGCATTGTGAATATGGTAAAGGCATGTCTCACCTTTATCTTATTCTTTAAAATGCTAATTTAAAAATCATATGATTTGGATCTTTGGAAAGAGACATTTTAATACCCAGAAAGGCATATATTATATTGTTGTTGCTACTTTTTGACATTTGCGTATTTTCATAATTAAAAAAAATTCCTCAGAAGGGACACCCAGAATAGAAGACAACAGGCTGAGTCAAAATACTAGCTTGACTTTTAAAACTGCATCACAGGTTTTATAAACAAATGAATAATTTATTCAATGGTATAAAAAATTTCCAAATAATAGTAAATGGTCACTGGATTGCCAAAACTACTTCTAACAATTCTTTCACCCACCATTAAAAAGTAGGTGTTCTATCGATTTCCATCCATGTTTTTATTCCAACTGTACACGCTTCTCTTCTCCTTAGGTAAACTCACTTATTCCTATTGCTGCAAATCTCGATATAGCCTATTGATATAGTGTGGATCTGTGTCCCTGCCCAAATCTCATGTGGAAATGTAATCCTCAGTGTTGGAGACGGGACCTGGTGGGAGCTGAGTTGATCATGGGGCAAAACTTTCATAAGTGGTTTAGCAGCCTTATGTGGAAATGTAATCCTCAGTGTTGGAGACGGGACCTGGTGGGAGCTGAGTTGATCATGGGGCAAAACTTTCATAAGTGGTTTAGCAGCCTTATGTGGAAATGTAATCCTCAGTGTTGGAGGCGGGGCCTGGTGGGAGCTGAGTTGATCACGGGGCAAAACTTTCATAAGTGGCTTCGCAGCATCCCCTTGGTGCTGCCCTCAAGATTCTCGTGAGATCTGGCTGTTTAAGTGTGTGGCACCTCCCTCCTCACTGCTCTTGTTCCTGCTCCTGCCAGGCGAGATGCCTGCCTCTCCTTCACCATCTGCCATGATTTTAAGCTTCCTGGAACCTCCCCAAAAGCAGATGCCCGTGTTATACTTTCTGTACAGCCTGCAGAACCGTGAATCAATTAAACCTCTTTTCTTCCTAAATTACCCAGTCTCAGATATTTCTATATAGTAAAGCAAAAATGGCCTAATTCACCTATAGACTAACGACTCTTAAAAATATATATTTAATTACTGATCGCTCCATGTAAATTTTGTGTTTTTTGAGACAGGGTTTCCCTTTGTTGTCTAGGCTGGAGTGCAGTGGCACGGTCTTGGTTCACTGCAACCTCCACCTCCCAGGCTCAAGCCATCCTCCCACCTCAGCCACCCAAGTAGCTGGGACTACAGGTGTGCACCACCATCCAGCTAATTTTTGTACTTTTTGTAGAGGCGGGGTTTTGCCATGTTGCCCAGGCTCAAACTCTTGGGCTCAAGTGATTTGCCTGCCTCAGCCTCCCAAACTGTTGGGATTAAAGGTGTGAGCCACTGTGCCTAGCCAACATTTTCTTATAGACACCTTCTCTACGTCCAAAAGACCCTAAAACTCCTCTATCAAGAAGGACAGCATTAGGAGATATACCTAATGCTAAATGATGAGCTAATGGGTGCAGCACACCAACATGGCACATGTATACATATGTAACAAACCTGCATGTTGTGCATATGTACCCTAAAACTTAAAGTATAATAATTAAAAAAGAATACATCCAATCTGTATTTCAACTGATGACATATATTTTTTCCAAAATTTGACAATCTCTGGTAATTTTCTTTAAAAATATATCATTTATTATCTTTAGAATTTTTAATACAAAAGGCTTTGCAAGTAGGATAATGACTAATTAAAATATGTCTATTACCTTAATGTTTAAAGTAACATTATTTATAGTATTATTTTAAAGAGAGATTAACTAATGTATAGGTAGTAAATGTGGCTTAAGAATAAAATTTGGCTTACCTTGCCTTGTAAATGAATATTGCTGCGGATTATATCTCGTACTTCATCCTCGGTATCTTTCTGTCAAGAAATATATGTTACCTAAAAGGAGTCTTCTATTGCATCAACTGTCACAAGTCAATAGAAACAATCCAAACCTTTTTTGAAATAGTATACGTCTGAGAAACATCTTTATAAAATTACATGCTACAAATTTGGGGCATTCTCATTCAAATAATTTCTTGGTACTGCTGTAGCCTGAAGCAAGGTAATGACCTGCTTTACCTCCACAGTAAGGACATTGAAATTCAATGGAATCAAGTTTCCAATTCATAAGAAGAAGGGGGCATAGCATGTTTTCTTGGGCTGAAATAGAAGTATATCTCCAGTATTCTTCCAAATCTCCACGAAGTCATTTTAGCCCTTAATAACATCCTCCATGACCCAGTAATAGCAAGGAAAATGCAACTGAGAATCAAACTCTAGAGAACTGCCAGTAGAGCTGCGTGATGCAGCCCACTCCCACAGCTTCCCCTCAATTCACTCATTTTAGAATGTCAAACGATGCATGTTCAGTGACGAGCTTCAGTGATTCAATGTGGAATGGAGAATATGTCCTCCAATTTACATAAATATAAAATAGAAATTCCAATGTACAAAATATTGCATCCTCATTTGCATAGCTATGAAGAACAGAAACTCAGAGGACATTGTAAAATCTTGAGAACTTAAATCTTGCAGAGGAACTTAAATCTTGCAGAGGAGAACAGCAGCTGATTTAAAAGTCAACACCTTATCTACCCACAGTTGGCACAATATATTATGCTTTTAACATTGAAAAATCACCCTTCATAAATTTGAGTATGCTTCTCATCACAAACTTTATATAGAAGTTTATATGAAATCCATTTTTTTCACTACCAGAGATTGGTTTGTGTCTTTCCTGTTTGGTTCTTGAATGTGTCCCGGAGGTGATTAACATAACTTACAAATAAAAACAGCCTCAAAAAAAGAGCAGTCTTTATGTTTGAGTCTTGGGCCTGTCTAGAAAACCTGCTTAATAAAACATGTAATGCAAATGAAATATTGACATAGGGCAGTGAGACAAAGGAATCAAACACTGAGAGTCTGGAGGTCAGATGATCATTACCGCTGGGATGAAAAGGAGACTTACCAGGCTAAATCGATTTTTGGCCAGAGCAATGAGCTCCTGGTCCCCAGGGGCACAGATGTTCAACCCAATGGGCAGTAACCGCTTCAGAGCTGCTACAATCAGAGAGGTCTGCATGGAATACCGATCTCCTTTGCGCTTCATTTTCTTCCTTTCCTGATCAGAAACAGCTGCCTATGGAACAAAGAGAAGTGCTGGGATCTGAACCTGCTTTTCTCACATGTAGAACCACTATGACTCTTCCCTAACTTGTCACTTCATCTTCCTCATTTTCTGCTGCTCCCTAGTTTTGAAAATCCTCCTGTTTTGAGAATAATTTTTCTCTTCCCTTCTTAGTATCTTTTGCTGATTTCAAGTCCTACCCTCAGATTCCTAGGTCATTATAATTCACTGGTATGCATTCCCACGTAATTTTTAGAAGACAAATGAAAATTGTAATTTTAGGGAAGCAGATAAATATATAAAAAATTCTATAGTAATTTCAGATATTGTGTGCTTTCTAATTTTCAATGCTTAAGAAATATAAGAATAAAGGGCTTATTTTTGTTTTGACAAATGCTTGCTTTGAAATATATATACATGTATATGGTGTGTGTGTGTGTGTGTGTGTGTGTGTGGTCTAATATATCAGAACAATTATAAAATGCATTTTTCTTTTATACAGTCTGCAAACTTGTCTTCCTAGAGCCTCAGTCCCCGTCTAGTAGAAATAGAAGTAATATACTCATTGGAGTTTCATAAATATTCAGGACGATCTGGATAACCAGTTTACAACTGAATACTGCCATGTTACTCAAGGGCTCTCTTGTGATGTTTTTGAGGCTTATGCTAGTAACACAGGGTCACCTTAAACGACAGAATCTAATTTTCACTGGGTAATGAGTATTCTATCAAGATGGCATGTTCTAATGTCAAAATTAAAATAATTGTCCCACATCCACTTATTTGTGCATGTTGAATATTTTGTAGCAGTAATTCAAAGTTACAACATAGTTTCGTGATAATGAAATGATAATGAAAAATATTTTAATATTTATAAATATAAATACATTGTAATAGTCTTGGGCTATTGAGAAAAAACATAATAGAATTTAATATACAAATGATTTGTTTTACTTAACAGAAGGTAAAGTGTATCATAGCATGAGGTTGAAAGACATTTTTACCATAGTGAAAGTAGTGAAACAAGTGAGTCACCATATAGCAATGATAGCTTATATATTACGTTATAAAATATACAATTATGTAATAATTAAACTACATATTGAAGTGTTATATTAAACCTATAATCTTCTGAACCATAGCAGTAAGAATTATACTTCTGTTCCAAAAAGATATGCTTATTGCATGAATCCCATTTTTATACATACCAACTTGTAAGAGATTATTCTCAGTAAGTTTATTAGAAAAAATATGATGAATAATTTGTACTGTTAAATTGACTCATTCATTAAAAAATGGATCATTTAAAATGGGCTCTTTGTTCAAAGGACAACATAACTAAAATGATAAAAATAATTGCCCAAAGGAAGAACCACTATCCTAAAAATTAAGCAAATTGATATAAATTATACAAACATACTTCTATCCAATACCGGTAATTTAGTTTCAGCAAAGCGACATCCCCAATATAGTCTAAATTGTATTGGTTTGGAGTTTTCTTAGTCTAAATTGTATTGGTTTGGAGTTTTCTTAGTCTAAATTTATTGGTGTTAGAGTTTTCATTGATTTTAACCTGTAAAGTTCTTTTGGTTTTATGGTTGTATAGGCAGAAGGAGCTTATATCTGGTTTAATATTTATAAATATTTGTGAGCTTATAATAAAAATAATCAACACTAAACACATCTACAAATTGCTCAATTTTGAGTAACACTAGGCAAATGAATTCCTACTTATACACAAACAATAATTTTGCTTTCCACCCCAGAAGAAATCTATAACTGGAAAGAGTAGTAAATATTTGAACATTTATGGGTGATGTCACTGTTCATATGAGGAAATTAAATCTATAAGCAATAAAATATCCTCCTGTACGCACATATTGGGTATTTTTTGTTCATTTGTTTAGTGCCTATTTCCTCCCCAAACTATGCAGCTCCTTTGGGGCAGCTGCCAAACCTGTTTTGTCGTTTCTCTGTATTCAAAGCCACGCACTGTGCCTTGCTCATAGGCGCAGCTCAATAATTTAAACAGAGCCGCTAAAGCTAATGAATTTGCACACTTTTTCATTTTCAATCTGTGCATTTGGATCAGATATGAAGATGTAATAACATGGCCCATATGTGGGCATATTTAAGAAGGGAAGTGGACTAACCTGAGCCCTTTCTTAAATCAATCACCTGAGCCCTTTTTTTTTTTTTTTTTTTTTTTTTTTTTTTTGAGATGGAGTCTCGCTCTGTCACCAGGCTGGAGTGCAGTGGTGTGATCTCGGCTCACTGCAGTCTCCATCTCCTGGGTTCAAGTAATGCTCTGCCTCAGCCTCCCAAGTAGCTGGGATTAGAGGCACCCACCACCACGCCTGGCTAATTTTTTTTTTGTATTTTTAGTAGAGATGGGGTTTCACCATCTTGGCCAGACTGGTCTTGAACTCCTGACCTCGTGATCCATCTGCCTTGGCCTCCCAAAGTGCTGGGATTACAGGCGTGAGCCACCGCACCCAGCCACTTGAGCCCTTTCTTTAATCAATCAATCAATCAACCTCTGCTTCTGCCTCCTCTCTATCTCTGTCTCTCACACACCCACAAACATACAAATATGATTGTAACAATTTCACAGAAAATAGCTTTAAATTTAATAGTGGACCAGGAAAATGGCAAGAAAGACATCAAACAGACTCTTCTTCAAATATACTGTTAGATTTGAGCAAAAACAGTGCTATGGCTGCATAAAATGGGTTATCAGCAGGCTCCTCCACCCTCTC
Organism: Homo sapiens; assembly: GCF_000001405.40. Lineage (NCBI taxonomy): Eukaryota > Metazoa > Chordata > Mammalia > Primates > Hominidae > Homo > Homo sapiens. The sequence goes on along the minus strand of NC_000001.11, from coordinate 237,714,450 downwards.
TCCTTATGACCCATCTAGAAAAGACTCATTTTCCAAGACCTATTCAAATCCTCACTTACCTCTGACATCTTTGACTATCCTATCAGTTTCTTTCTCTCGTACGTTTTCTAAGTACTTATTAACTATATGATTGTTAGATATTCAGCTGTATTTTAACTTTATCATTTTGTTACTACAATTCATATCTATTAAAATTTGTTGCATGCCTATAATCTGTGAGGCACAACACACACATTATTCTGATTTTACAAGCCTCCATCAAGGTAAGCAGCATGACAAACATTTTGCTGCTACGAACAGTGAGGTTTAAGATGAGTGAAGGGATTATGAAGTGGCAGAGTCAGCACTCCAGGCTGATCTGCCTCTGAAAGCCAAGCTCTTTCCTTTGCCACATTATGAACAGAAAGCACAGTTTTAATTGGTTGTATTTATCACATGACCTTTCTGTGGGAACTTACAAAAAATTTTCTAATATTCCCACAATGAAATAGCCTACCAAAAAAAAAAACCTATAAAAAGATACTTTTTTGTATTTTAGATATAGTAATTATAAAAATTAGCCTAGCTTTAAATGTCCAAGGCCTGTGATTACATTTCAACAGGAAATGAAATCTTAAGAAAAAAACAGAGTACAATTGTATAATGCAACAGGCAAAACCCACCTTTCTCACACCCACAAATAAACACAGAGAACTTGTAATAAATGCTATCTACCTATCTATCTATCTATATATATTTTTTTGAGATGGATTTTCATTCTTGTTGCCTAGGCTGGAGTGCAATCCAGGTACTTTGGGAGGCCGAGGCCGTCAGATCACGAGGTCAGGAGTTTGAGACCAGCCTGGCCAATATGGTGAAACCCTGTCTCTACTAAAAATACGAAAATTAACTGGGCATGGTGGCATGCGCCTGTATAGTCCCAGCTACTTGGGAGGCTGAGGCAGGAGAATCGCTTGAACCCAGGAGGCAGAGGTTGCAGTGAGCCGAGATCGCACCACTGCACTCCAGCCTGGGCAACAAAGCAAGGCTCCGTCTCAAAAAAACAAAACAAACAAAAACAAAAACAAAAAAATAATTTTTTAGTTTGAGAAAATTTGTGGGTCAGAAATGTTAAAATTGAGAGGTTCTTATCTATTACTCCCCTTTTTTCTTCTTGCAAATAAGAGCAAACTGTGTTATAATCAGTCATCTTTATGCATGTCTCACTCTAGGTTCTATGACATGTAGTGCTTTGAGAGTATCTTTGAGAATCACTGGACTCAACTGATGGAAAAGAGGGAAAAGGGTATCTGTACAGGAATACACAGACTTCTGGCATTAGCTTCTAGTTCATGTGCTGTCGGGTCAAACACAGGGCATTCAAAACTCTTAAACAAGACTAGGCCTACCAAGCAATACCATTCTACTTCCCTTGTGACAGATCACAGAGCAGGCCTGAGGATCCGGTGACTTTTGGAGGTCAGTGGAGTGGGTGTACCTAAGCTACTCTGTTGCCAGAATTTATTGAGTCAGTAGAGGCTAATTTGCTCTGCCTGAGTAGCAGTCATTTTTGGATCTTTGGCCATTTGGCAGCCAAATGTTACCACATGTAATATATTTATTTCTCATTTAGCAGGAATTAAACATATAAAGCCCCTTTAAAATGCTTTAAATGGAAGCTACTCCCCTCCCCAATACGAGTGACAGAGAAAACAAAAATCTGGAAAGATACTTCCCACTTCATGTGTGAGAACCTGGAATTCGTCCATGTGGCTTTTAAATAATGCAGCGAATTTATTTTGAGGTCTGTTTCTTTGGTACACATAAGCACACAAATATTCACACTTGATGGACACATAGTGTTGACATGTTAAACATACATTATACTGACTTTTGGTGAGTGGGGGGTGCGTGTGTGTGTGTGTGAGTGTGTGTGTGTGAAGCATGTCTTTATTCTGTTGCTCTGACATCTTGGAGATTTGCTGATCCTGGGGAGACAGCAGTCCCTCCCATCGTTAGGCAAGTCCTAGAGAAGGAAATGGCTTCCTTGGTTTGGGGAGCTTGCTTTTCATATACAAGTCAACCAACCCAGAGCCCACACTGACCCCTGCCTCACCTATCGGGCTCTTATACTCTGGGCTACTATCCACCTGCTCTAATCACTCTGGGACTAGGTACCAGGCAGCCAAGGACAGGCCCTATGATGTGGAGCCCCTGAAAAGTATTCAAATTAGCCAATCAGAAACCTGTTTGCCCTGCCTTGTCCATTCCTTCCAGTGGAGACCACGAGGCAAGCTCTCGCCCACGTCTTCTCCTTGCTCTCTCTACCTCCTGACTGACCCTGACCTCTCCCCGGGGGGCCCTGCCTGGCATGCCATGCCTCCTGTTTCCAGGGATCTGTCAGTAGAAATGTCTTCCTTCATGACAGTCATTTCCCGTCTGCATGTCTTACCATGCCTGATTCAAACAAATTCCAGTAACCTTAAAACAGCTTGCATATTTGAACCAATTTATAACATTACCAAATCTGTCAGATTCCAGTTACAAATCTTCGAAAATCTAAAAAAAAAAAGTCAATTCATGAAAGTCACATTCAGATATTTTCCAGAACAGTGAAACAGTTTATAGTAATACCTTTGACATCTTTGACTTGGTATCAGTAATAAGGAAAGACATATTGTTGATTTCATTCTGTACAACGAAGTTCTGCTCTTCTCTTTTGAAATTCTGAGAAGTTGCAAAGGAAATTTCAGTTAAAACCACTTAAAGAAGTCTTTGTAATTAGAGGTTACACAGAACCTGCAAGTTTTTACAGAGATAAGTATTAATTTGATATATAAGAATTATCAAAAAAGGATACAAGTATTTCTTGAGTATCTAATGAGGGTACTTGGCTAGAAGCAAGAATTCTGTGAACTAGATATGAATATGCACATTGCAAAGATGGGAAAACTAAGATTCAGAAAATTTCATTGCAAGATCACATGTTTACCAAGGAGTAGAATGAATATTCAAACGCCTGGTTAGCTGGTGAAAGGCATATACTGATTCCTGAGATTAACATAGACTTTCCGAGGACACATAGAACTATGACGTAACTTTCTATTCTGTCAGATTTTTTACCTGTTTTTAAAATACCATATCATTATTTATTCCCTTTTAATTTGGGAACATAAAAAGACTGGCAAAATCAATTTATCTTTAAATATTTGGGGAAAAACATAACACATTAGCCAATTTATGTTTATATTAATATATGCCCATGAGATTCAAAAGTACATATTCAGATATTTTTGCTTATTCTTGAAAGTATGATTAGACATTCATCTGAAAACATACTGATTATGATAAATACTCTTGTTCCAAACTTTAGTCTTGTACCTAAATCTAAAGACGCTTCTTCGGCATTTTAATGATCGAGGAAACTGAAGAGTTTCAGTTCTTCAAATAAAAATATGCAGTTTTTAGTAATTTTTTCCTGGGCTCCCCCTATTTTCCCATGAGGCATTCTAAGTGAAGTAACCCAACAGGGAAAACAACAGGCAAAAAGCAAAAATTCATCTTTGTTTTTTGGCAGCTCAAAATGGACTGATTTCTTCTGGAATTCATTTATTTATACATTCATTCATGTATGTATTTAGGGACAGGGTCTGGCTCTGTCACCCAGGCTGGGATGCAGCTGTGCAATGATAGGGCACTGCAGCCTCTAACTCCTGAGCTCAAGCAATGCTCCCACCTGTCACCGGGCATGCATTATCTATCTATCTATCTACATACCTAATCTATTTATCTTTTTACAGTGGATTTTGAATTTTCCTTCAGAATACCTTGGATGATCTATTGCATCCCCCAAACATGAGTTACACAGGATAAATAAATTTGTATCTTTGTGAAGATACAAAGTTGCATGTTAAGCAGCCATTATTTCATATATCCTTTCTGAGTGATTATGTTTTTAATGTATGTTTTTATATAAAGTTTGCTATTAAGTTTGACAGACTCCTCAGATGTAGGCAATAAATAATATTTGTCATCCCAAATATTAAATATGCATATTTAAAAAATATTATGTATTCAAAGTAACTTGATTTGTACAACAGTCTGATTAAGTAAACTGGTAAGATATCTCAGATGATAAAACTGAGGTTGAAATTTTTATTTTCTTTGTCTCTCATTTACAGAGTGGCATAGAATTATAATTGATATAAAAATTCTAAATTTTTAAAATAATTCAGGATAATCATCAATGCTCTTTTATCTATATTCTGCTAGTTACTGAAATAATGATAGACTACTATACGATTGTTATGATTAAAATCTTTTCCAGGTTTAAAAATACATAGTTCCACTTGCAATACACAAAATAGTGAAAATTCACCAAATACGTACTTTAGAAATTCTATCAACAGGATTGTCAGTAGAAAGAAGCTTTATTTTAAAACCCAACAGATTCTAAAATGTGAGCCAAACTAAATTCCTTAGGTGTAAAGTGTGTGAAGATAAAACAAATTTATGGAAGCAGTACCTTTACAAGTAAAATGAGTGTGGGTTATTGTTGGAAATTGCTAGTCTATTTAAGCACGTCTCAAACTGAGAACTGCAAATTAAGAGAACAAAATGCCAAGAGATAGGGAAAGCTAGATAGTAAAAATAGTACATCTTTATGCAATGTCAATATTAGTCCAAAATTTAGGGGCAAATTTAAAATATGTTTATGGAGTGCAATTAAAAATCCCTGTGATTTTTTTAAAGGATAAATTGCAAAACTCAGAAGAAGGTTTATATTCCCTCAAACTCCTCAGGGGAACCTATTCTCTCTCCTCAACTGTTACATGAAACCTAGGAGGCAAGTAAGCAGGTGCCTACAAACAGTAGGCGTGATCTATCAATATTTTCACACTCACATGGGACTTCGACCAGTAGATAAACACTTCAGCCACCATGCGGAAGAGCTCCTCTGCTTCTGGGTTAGGCTCCTTTAGCCACTTTGCCCTGGATCACATAATAAATAAAGTGGTTTCTCAGCTACTCCTTAAAGTTAATTTAAAAAAAAAAAACCATCCCCCCAAAGTTAAATGTACTGACCACAGAGCTCATGATGGTTTCAGCACAGTGTTGTAATATTTAAAAAAAAATTTAAACATCATAACTGTCAAACTGTTAACTTTTACATGCAAAATCAGAATGAAACGGCCAACTTTGATTTTAAGGTGTTTTAATTTTAAGCCAAAAATTAACTTGCCTATAAACAGTTAATTATAATTACCAACAAGCTCATGGCAAAATAGTGAATGAAGCGATTGAACAAGGACATGTGAGCCAAGAAACGTTATGACCGAATTGGAGAAATTACTAAATTACTTTTGATCATACCTGTTATAGTCCACAAATCTAATCAAGAGAGGGTAGAAGGCATAGAGATCTCTGGCCAGTGTGGTGAACTCATCTAGGATGAGGAGTTCTGCCTCCGACATGTCCCCCCTGGCCTCAGCTTTCAGGTGGTCTTCCTCAGACACCACCGTAGCTGCCTTTTTCTTGAGTTTCTCCATTAACGGCAAGAAATGAGTTTTCAAGAGCTGAGGTTTCACTTTATTTATTATAGGCTGGGAAAACACTGTTTAAAGACAGACATTAGTATTCTGCTCTGTAAAACCATTCATTAACATGATGATAGATTGTAATTACAATTGTAACATAATTAAAGCCTCCTTCTCCAGCACATGACTTCCTTAAGGGTACAGCTCATGCCTCAGCCATTTTTCTAGTCCAAGTTCTAATTGCATAGCTGCCATTAAAAAAATGTTTACTGAGTTGAATTCAACGATCTTCCTTGTTTTTAGAATAGATAGCTAATTTAGAATGAAAAAAAAGACTTTCACTCATTTTGGAAATCATTTTCACACAAGAAATAAAATTCCCAAATGGAAAAGGTTCCCCTAACCCTTAGAATAGGGACAAGCTCTGCTACATAATTACTATATGAGACTATATACAGTTATCTCATTTTAACTATCCCCATCCTTGGCACAATGGAAGAGTTAGATTATATGGAACACTGCTCTCTTATTTAATAATAACCATAGTTGTTAATAATAGTTCTAAACTTGATTGGGCCATTTTTAAAATGACTTTTTTCCCCCTGAAAGTAACATATATGCACTGGGGAAAAGTATACAAGAGAAAAGTTAAAGTCAACCATAATCATCTACCCAAATTAATAAGTCATTGCTGCATTTTTCTGGAGTTTTCATCAGTAGATAAATTCATTTACATATATATTATACATATAACATTCTGAATTCATTGTTTTAAAAATTCTCCATTTTTCCCTTCATAATATGAGTATTTCCAGGGCATAAAATATTGTTGAAACTTCAACATTTAAAGATGACATAGACGTGGTGGCTCACACCTGTAATCCCAGCACTTTGGGAGGCCGAGGTGGGTGGATCACCTGAGGTCAGGAGTTCGAGACCAGCCTGGCGAACATGGTGAAACCCCATCTCTACTAAAAAAAAAAAAAAAAAAAAAAATTAGCTGGGCATGGTGGCAGATGCCTGTAATCCTAGCTACCCGGGAGGCTGAGGCAGGAGAATCACTTGAACCCGGGAGGCGGAGGTTGCAGTGAGCCAAGATCTCACCATTGCACTCTTGCCTGGGCAACAAGAGTGAAACTCCATCTCATAAACAAACAAACAAAAAACAAAATATGACATAATATTCTGGCATGTAGATGTATACAACTTATTTAGCCATATTCTGGTTATTGGGTACTTAGATTGCTTCTAACTTTTCAATACAAATAATGCAATAATTGTAGACATTAGACTACATTTTTTTGGTTTACCCTCCCTTCTCTTCACATTCTCTATATAACAGATGGCTACAAGTGGATTGCTAAAAGTTGAATGTTTTATTTTTGTCTCTGGCTATAAAATCATTAGTTTTTACTGCTGTGTTTATTGATTAATCTTACAGAGATTGACAAGTCAGAAAAATGTTTACTTAAAAGTAGTAACTATTTAACATATACCCAATGCCTGTTTTTATCTACATTAAAAAATAGCATGACAAATACTAATATTTTTGAGTAAAGAAAATATTAATAAAAATTGTGATGGGAAAATTCTAGTTTATGTATTTAAAATTCTTTTGGAAATAAAACAGATTTCAGGGGTACAATGTCTTCTTCCAGTTCTTACCTGCTAGCCTCTTCATCCAGGCTCCCTCATCAATCCCCAAGTTATTATATATGATTTTCAATATGTTCCCTAGAAGTGTGTTCATGTGCTCTGAGTTCAGGGCTGTGCAGCACATCTCGGCCCGTTCTGGATTGTTCTCAGGTCCATGCTCCCACCAACGAGACATGTAGCTGCAAAGCATGGGCAGTATGACTTCCATGACATGTGGCATTTGAGTGTAGCGAATGCCGGACTCGGCTAATTCCACGATTTCTTCCATGAGTTTCTCCAAAGACGGTATGTTTGGACAAACATCTTCCACATTAGTTGGCAAACTGAGAGCTGGAGAAGTACATATAAAAATGGATGATATTCAAAGAAAGTACTGAGATGATATGGCGGATTTCCACAGGCAACTATTTCATTTTGGACTTCAAAATTTAGCAAGACGTGGCATGCCTGCAACTGGCTCCTTCTCCTGTGTTTCAAGGTAGCTATTTCAAAGCTTCTCTCTTTCCCCTAAGTTCCTACTGTACCATCACTCCCAGAAAACAGCCATTCCTCCTACTTTACAGCAAACAATAGTATCAAATATTTCCTCCTCTAACTTTGCTGCTCTCATGACCTACAAGCCATTTATGACTGGCTCCACCTTGGCCTCCATTCCCCGTTTTCGAGGAAGTTTTGAAGTCCCCCACTCACGGCTCCACCAAATACCTGATGCCTTGCTCAGACCTGTATTTTCAGCCCTGTAATACCTCCTACCCAGCAAGATACTCAAATCTTTCCTGGATTACTTAGCTATCCAGGCACTCTCCGTCCTCAGGAACAAAGCTGCTTTTCACTGTGCAGCAAAATTGCACTTTTACAACTCATCTTTCCAACCGTTCAGTGGCATTTCATACCCAGGACCAAATTCCCTTTTCCTAAAACTCCCTTCTTTCTTAACATCAATGTGCCCAGCCTTTTTGGCTCCCTCTGAATGTTGTCAGTGTCCTTACTGACTCTCTTCTCCTTGCTGAACTTTTTTTGTTGTTGCTGCTGAGACAGAGTCTTGCTCTGTTGCCAGGCTGGAGTGCAGTGGCGCAGTCTTGGCTCACTGCAAACTCTGCCTCCCCAGTTCAAGCGATTCTCATGCCTCAGCCTCCTGAGTAGCCAGGATTACAGGCACACACCACCACGCCCGGCTAATTTTTGTATTTTTAGCACAGACGGGGTTTCACTATGTTGGTCAGGCTGGTCTTGAACTCCTGACCTCGTGATCTACCCACTTCGGCCTCCCAAAGTGCTGGGATTACAGGCATGAGCCACTGCGCCCAGCCCTTGCTGAACTTTCAAATGCTGATTATCTTTAGGAATCTATCTTTGATTCTCTTCTCTTTTTTGGTTTGCATGTTCATCTAGACAATTTTGGCCATTCTTTCTGCTATAAGCTAATATCTGTAAAGCCATGTTTCTTAAAAACTGTTCTGACTCATCCTGGATGTCTCAAGCACAACTAAAACACGATGGATCTAAATTTAAACTTCTCTTTTTCTCTCCAGCCTATCTTGAGCATGCCCTAACTTGGTGGGGACATTATCCAGTCAGTCACCCAGAAGAGAAACCTGGGATTACGTCTAGGCTGCGATACTCCCTCATCTGCCACACAAGATGACTCTACCTCTAGGAGCTCTCACAATCAACACACATACACGCTGTCCAAGGGGCCTGCTCAGTCACCTTGCTCTTGAATTACCACATATTCTGATTGCTGCCCTATATGTATCATATCTCCCTCATCTATCACAGGGTACATCACATAGAATACCAAACAATAACATTTAAGAACAAACAAGATTGGATATAGTAAACTGAAAGAGCTCATTAAAAATCACTATTGGACAATATGATAAATATCAAGTTTTAGCTTCATATCTCAAAGCACTGCACATGTTTCTGTGTTACCTGCTCTTTCTCGTGAAGACTTGGTATTGTAGATGGAGTAAATATTATGTTTGTCCAGATGAGTTTCCAAAAATGCTACAGGAAAAGCACCAGCAAAGGCAGCTAGACATTCTCCTAATGCAGAACGTTGCCTATAAGTGGAAAATGCTTATGTTTTAAGGTCTTCCAAGTGAGTAACTAAAAAAGTCATATTACAATTAGCAAATTTAACCTAAAAGGAATGATAATATTGGTCCTAATAAAATTAACTCCCAAATCCAATTTCTGTATTGCTAAACATCATATGCTTTCAATAGCAATATCCTCACCATTTGAAAAAAAGCTAAATTATCTGTTAGCAAAAAATTATCTGTCAACTTATTTCCTCATATCTGATTGGACTAGTCCTTTTATTTCATTAATTCACTTTAAAATTCTGTTTCAATTAGTGATTCTCAGACTGATTCTGATAATTTGTGTTGGCATTCTGGAAATATCAATTTTTCTTTTGGATGACTTATGTTAAAATATCTATATTTGTAGATATTTTAGAAAAAGTTCCACTGTAACTTTTTGTAAATATCTATTTTTTTCAAAATGTCTTTTCCTTACCTTTGAATTTTTTTTTGTTTCCCCAATCACTTTATAACCGCAAAATTAATTGCACAAAAAAGACTTAAAAAACAAGCCACCAAAAACCAAAACATTATTTAGAACCTAAAAAAGTGACCTCGAATTTTGTCCAGATAAATATATAGGCAAAAACAACAATGACAAAAACAAAAGCTACAGCAATAAGAAGGAATTAGAGGGTTTGAAAAACCAGATATTAAAATATTTTTAAAAATACTAACAATTCAGGCTATATGATATTGATTTAGTCATAAAAAATCAAATAATAGAACAGAATAGAAATTCTAAATGTAATCTAGTAAATACATTACTTTACATGATGGTTTTATTTTAAATCAGGGAATAAAATAAATAGTTAATAAATGATTACTTTACAAATGGTTGATGATTTTAAAAATTTAATTTGAATCCTACATAATACCCAAGAGAAATAAAGTTCAGATATATTTCTAGTAAATTCCCTTCTTATCTCAGAGATGATCATTCTAGACATTCTCTACTTTCCTTGAGCTTTCCACACTTCTTTTCTCAGCCTTCATCTGGCTTAGGACTCAAGGCATTCTTCATTGAGAAAACAGAAGCTACTAGACACAGACCTACCTCATATAGCTTCTACCTGTTTTCTGTTGCATAGAGAAAAGTTATAAGCTTCAAAAGTCGCCTTCTAAAAGACACATTCTCGACTACCTTGTTCTCCAAATTGTGTGATTATTCATAGGACAAACTATACCTTGCCACTATAATATTTATCAGTTTGCTTGTTTGTTTTGGTTTGGTTTCCTCTACCAGATATAAAACCTATGAGAGTAGAGAAGTATCTTGTTTATTTCTGTATCCTAGTATCTGGCATTTAACAAATATTTAGGATACAAACAATAGGATTATAAAGTTAAATATAAAGAACTGGAAGCATGAAAAGTCTAGGAGGATAAATGTTTGAAATTCTAACTGCTAAATGTGTAGTCTAAACTTATCAGAATAATAAAACTAAGGGGAAGAAACATACATGAAATAATTGATTGATTATGTCAAAATTATATAAAATTTGATTATATAAAAATTCAACATTACCATGTCATAAAATGCTATCTGTATATAATTTTTATATATTTTATATATATATATATGTTTTATGTATATATTTTATATATAAGCACTATATATATATAAAGGTAAAAAATGGTAAAACTCACAAAAACAGGAGAAATAGGCAAGAGGTTAATCATTTTAATGAACAAAAGCATTATTACAAATCAGCATGACAATACATGAATAGAAAAATAGATGCAAGATGAGAAAAGGCAATTCATAAAGTAAAGAAACACAAATGACAAGGTAAACATGAAAAAAATAGCAAGTAGATGGTAATCAGGAAAGTGCATTTGAAAATATAAATAGGGATCCTATATTTTCACTATCACATACACAAGCACTAAAAAGAAAAAAAAGATAATCTGAGTAAGGAACAAATGAGGAAATTAGCATTCACTTCTAAAATTTGAGAATGTAAATGGAAAGGATTTTCTGAAAACAGTGAAATGAGTACCGTAATCCTGTAATACAGGCATACCCTTTGACCTATAATTCCAAATTCTAAGAATACAGCTAAGGGAAATAAGCATAAAAATACAATGGAATCTATGAACATAGATCTGGCATTATATATATTAGTGAAAAACAGAAAACAGCCAACATGTCAAAAATAAAGTCACATATCAATAAATTATTATACTTCCTTAATATAGGTCATAACCATAAAAATAATATGAAAATTGAGTTTACTTAAAATGAAGGTAAGAAATGTAAAATGTTCAGAGTAAACCCAATTATGTTTTTCCATTGATCTAATTTGCTATTTTTATGTACAACTGTCATCCTATTTTAACTACTGTAGCTTTATAGGTTTTAATATTTGGTAGGCCAAATGAGTACCTGTTCATTACTCTTTTATTCCCCTGCAAATTCCGTTGGCTAGTCTCATGGGTTTATTCTTTGAAATAAACTTTTGAATGATTTTGTGAAGTTGGAAAAAGCAAATTTCTGTAATTTGCTGTACTGAAATTGTACTGTAATTACAGGTTAATTTTGGGAGAACTTATATCTATTCATAATTAAATCTTCTATCAGAATATGTTTTTATTTATTCTGACCTTTTAAAAAAACTTCCCTGTTTTTCTTCTCTGGTTCACAGAAATTTCTTACTAAAGTTGCCAGTGATCTCTTTATTTTAAATTTACTGGGGATACCTTTTCTTATGTTACCTATTCACATCATTTAACACTGCAAACCACTCCATCCTGAAACTTGAGAACATGAGAAAATAAAACTAGGTTTAATAACTGCTCATATTCATGTTTACTTTGAATTTCTGATATATAATGAGAAACGATACTAGCAGGTGCTTTCATAAGACTCAAACACTCAGCTGAAACTTCATATTAAGTGTAGTCTTTACCATTAGTGCTTTACTTTCTTTGCATAACTCCATTGTCCTTTATTATATCAATTCTTATTTTGTTTAAAGATTGTCTAATTACTTCCAAGGAATTTCAAAGGTCAATCCGGTTTAGTTTATAACTAGGAAACAGGTTATGAAATGAAGATTCTTGAAATAAATAGTTATAAAACTTGAAGCAGCAATTAATACAAAGTTAAACTTTAAACATTCTTACCTCTCCACGTAAATACTCTTGCTGGTTCCCAAAGCATATAAGCTAGTCAGAATTCTATAACAAGACACCTGGACATCTTCCACTAAGGAAAAAGAGAATCTCACTTGAAAGAAAAACCCACTTATTTATACATTGTCCTGAGAAAGCTTAAGCTATGTACTATTCAGTTTAGGCTATATACTATTCATCCATAAAAAGAATGAAATCATGTCTTTTGCAGCAACATGGATGGAACTGGGGGTTGTTATCTTCAGTGAAACAAGCCAGGCACATAAAGTCAAATATCACATGTCCTCACTTATAAGTGGGTACTAAACCATGTGTACACATGGACATAGAGAGGAGAATAATAGACAAGACTCAGAAGGGTGAGGGGGCAGGAGGGGGTGGATGACGAGAAATTACTTAATGGGCACAATGTTCATTATTTGGGTGATGGATGCCCTAAAAGCCCAGACAACTGTACTTGAAACCCGTAAATTTATACAAATAAAAATAACTAAACAAAAGGCACATCTGCTTTTTTTTTTTGAGATAGAGTCTTGCTCTGTCACCCAGGCTGGAGTGCAGTGGCAATACTGGCTCACTGCAACCTCCACCACATAGGTTCAAGTGATTATCTTGTCTCAGCCTCCCGAGTAGCTGGGATTACAGGTGTGCACCATCATGCCCAGCTAATTTTTGTATTTTTAGTAGAGACGGGGTTTCACCATACTGGCCAGGCTGGTCTCGAACTCCTGACTTCAGCTGAACCACCCACCTCAGCCTCCCAAAGTACTGGGATTACAGGCATGCGCCACTGCACCCGGACTAAGCATGCTTTCTTAAAACAAAATTTAAAATAAACGTTCTGCCACTGGTAGTTGTGGCACCCACTGAGTAACTCAGCAGTTTTTGCACAGAGGTGCCCATCACCTGAGGAATGGACAATGCACGAGTCTGAGTTGGTGATTCTGCTCAACAAAGGCTCATGTCCTGAGCAGGGCAGTGGGGAGTTCAAACAGCTCATGCGTATTTTTTCCACGTAATCTTGGGCATTCTGTGTATAGTTTTATTAACTACTGAATGCCAGCCCAAAACAGAAGATTAAAGCTTCCCTAAAAACTGTCAGAAACCTCTAAACAGAGGATATTTGAGCCACTCTAAAAGGCCAATTATTTAGACACAGACTTTGTCTCAGTCGTCTTCACATTATTACATTGTCAAGCTTGGAGAAACAATCTACATTGACTCAGAAATAATTTGAAAACATTTACTGTTGCATGTTATATGGTTCAACTGCATTAAAACGTTTATGTGAAAAGAGGCAATGTAGAAATAGTGATCATTTGGAAACTTCAACAATGTGGAAGTCATTTTCTATAACCAGTACCTTACTGGTCCTCTCTGTGGGTCCATGTAATTCAGAGATCTATTTCTGTAAGAATGGTGTCTATCACACAAATGTCAACCTATAACGTTTTGCAATAAAAAAGGCATTTTAACATGTAAACAGTGTTTTAGTAACCCAGATGTGGCTATTACTGTTTTTGATTGTACTACAGGGTATTTCGATTAAAAAAAAAAAAACTCCAAGATATAAATTTACATACATATTAGGTCTTCTCCGAACTGATGCTGGCCAATATGTTCAAATAATGAAGACAGCATTGGCAGCAGGGCCACTGTGGTGTAATTGATAATCTGAGTAACCCCTTTGGGCTGGTTTCGGGTGTGAGTGAACTGGCCCTGCTTGAGGTTTTCCATGGTCTTCTCCAGATCCTCTGCAGCGTTGTCCAGAAAAGCTCTGAGTGCACTTTTAACACTCTCCAGGCCAGTCTTCATCACTGTCCTAGAAAGTAAATAAGGGAGGACTCGTATCTTCCAACAGGAACAAATGAAATATAAATGAATTGTGGTTCTCTTATGATGTTTATTTCTCCATTACTCTACTCACCTGGTAACCAACTTTTAAAATCAACTCTAAAACAAATTTTTTCAATATACTTGAAGTTACAGCAATACTGCTCTGTAAATTATCTTTTCCAAATGCCTTCATAGTCAACTTATTAAAACCTTGCTGCAAAAGTCTGTGCTAATGCTGTATGCTTATCACTAACGGTCTCCAATTTAACTAACAAAACACAGCTTCTGAGTGAGTATAGTTAATCCGAAATCCAACAAAACTAGAATGTTTCCTGAGGCAATGAGTAGCAAAAAAAATTTCATGCCAGCTAAACCAACTCAACAAATGATACAGAATGTTTGTGTTTTAAGGTGTAGCAATCAAGTCTTTTCTAATGAAGCCGCCGAAGGCTGAACTTCATACCTTAATGCCACTATTTGTAGTAGGAAGTGAAGGTCTGTAATGGTGTCTCCTTTCTGCATTTATCATACAAAAGACCTTAAATGAAATCTTAAACGCAAGAATGGATAATCAAAGAGTATTGTGGAATATTCTCTTTAGGAGACATTTATAAACTTTTATTTAGATTTATCCTAGATATAAACTAAATGTATGGCTGAATCAATCATGCTAAATGAACTGATTTTGTATTTGGTCAACATGCTAGATTTCTGGTCAAGTTGACAGGGCAGAGTAGAAAGCACACAGATGGGAATTCGTCTACCTACACACTTAGTATGCAATCTTAAACATCACTTTATTCATCTGTAAAATGAGAATAAAACTCTGTTTCCTAAAAAGCCAAATGTTATTATGAATGTTAAGCACAAATATCACGCCTGGAAGCTAACAAGATCTCTAGAGTTGTCAGATTACCATTTTTCCTGCGTGATACATTACC